>NC_000002.12:201429011-201732042 GCF_000001405.40 Homo sapiens
TGATTTTGTATCCTGAGACTTTGCTGAAGTTGCTTACAGCTTAAGGAGATTTTGGGCTGAGACAATGGGGTCTTCTAAATATATAATCATGTCATCTCCCAACAGGGACAGTTTGACTTCTTCTTTTCCTAATTGAATACCCTCTATTTCTTTCTCTTGCCTGATTGCCCTAGCCAGAACTTCCAACACTATGTTGAATAGGAGTGGTGAGAGAGGGCATCCCTGTCTTGTGCCAGTTTCCCTTTGTGGGTAACGCAACCTTTCTCTCTGGCTGCCCTTAACATTTTTTCCTTCATTTCAACTTTGGTGAATCAGACAATTATGTGTCTTGCAGTTGCTCTTCTCGAGGAGTAACTTTGTGGCATTCTCTGTATTTCCTGAATTTGAATGTTGGCCTGCTTTGCTAGGTTGGGGAAGTTCTCCTGGATAATATCCTGAAGAGTGTTTTCCAACTTGGTTCCATTCTCCCCGTCACTTTCAGGTACACCAATCACACGTAGATTTGGTCTTTTCACACAGTCCCATATGCCCTGGAGGCTTTGTTCATTTCTTTTTACTCTTTTTTCTCTAAACTTCTCTTCTCGCTTAATTTTATTCATTTGATCTTCAATGAGTGATACCCTTTCTTCCACTTGATCGAATTGGCTACTGAAGCTTGCGCATGCGTCACATAGTTCTTGTGCCATGGTTTTCAGCTCCCTCAGGTCATTTGAGGTCTTCTCTATGCTGTTTATTCTAGTTAGCCATTTGTCTAATCTTTTTTCAAGGTTTTTAGCTTCTTTGCGATGGGTTCAAACATCTTCCTTTAGCTTGGAGAAGTTTGTTATTGCTGTCAACTTGTCAAAGTCATTCTCCGTCCAGCTTTGTTCTGTTGCTGGCGAGGAGATGCATTCCTTTGGAAGAGAAGATTTTTGGAATTTTCAGCTTTTTTGCTCTGGTTTCTCCCTATCTTTGCGGTTTTATCTACCTTTGGTCTTTGATCATGATGGGGTTTTGGTGTGGATGACCTTTATGTTTGTTAGTTTTCCTTCTAACAGTCAGGAGCCTCAGCTGCAGGTCTGTTGGAGTTTGCTGAAGGTCCACTCCAGACGCTGTTTGCCTGGGTATCACCAGCGGGGGCTGCAGAACAGCAAATATTGCAGAACAGCCAATGTTGCTGCCTGATCCTTCCTCTGGAAGCTTTGTCTCAGAGGGGTACCCGGCTGTATGAGGTGTCAGTCAGCCCCTCCTGGGAGGTGTCTCCCAGTTAGGCTACTCGGGGGTCAGGGACCCGCTTGAGGAGGCAGTCTGTCTATTCTCAGATCTCAAACTCCGTGCTGGGAGAACCACTATTCTCTTCAAAGCTGTCAGACAGGGACGTTTAAGTCTGCAGAAGTTTCTGCTGCCTTTTGTTCAGCTATGCCCTGTCCCCAGAGGTGGAGTCTACAGAGGCAGGCAGGCCTGCTTGAGCTGTGGTGGGCTCCACTCAGTTTGAGCTTCCCGGCTTCTTTGTTTACCTACTCAAGCTTCAGCAATGGCGGACGCCCCTCCCCCAGGCTCGCTGCCACCTTACAGTTCGATCTTGGACTGCTGTGCTAGCCGTGACCAAGGCTCCGTGGGCATGGGACCCTCTGAGCCAGGCATGGGATATAATGTCCTGGTGTGCCCTTTGCTAAGACTGTTGGAAAAGCGCAGTACTAGGGTGGGAGTGTCCCGATTTTCCAGGTACCGTCTGTCATGGCTTCCCTTGGCTAGGAAAGGGAATTCTTTGACCCTTTGCACTTCCCAGGTGAGGCGATGCCCTGCCCTGCTTTGGCTCACCCTCCGCGGGCTGCACCCACTGTCCAACAAGCCCCAGTGAGATGAACCGGGTACTTCAGTTGGAAATGCAGAAATCACCTGTCTTCTGCGTCACTCACGCTGGAAGCTGTAGACTGGTGCTGTTCCTATTTGGCCATCTTGGAACCCCTCCCTGTCTAGTATTTCTTAAATTTCTGGCTCAACAGCCAACTGTGTACCCAGAATGACTACCACGTTTAAGTATGGAGTAGATGCGGTCTGAAGATACCTCTGAGTAATCTTCACATAGAAGGACATAAGGACTAAGAAACTGTGCTCCTGCTAATAAAGTTTCAAGTGCCATAGAGCTGGGATTATCAAGAGTGATGATTCCTAAAGCTCATTCCTTCATGGGTCTGAGGAAGGTTTGCTAATAACAAAAAAGTCTTAACTATACTTAGCATCTTTCTCCATAGCAGTGTGGCTATACATTTCCTATTGCTACTACAACAAATTACCACAAACTTAGTGGCTTAAAACAACACCAATTTATGATCTTACAGTTCTGGAGGTCAGAAAAATGAAAAGTGTCAATGGACCAAAAGCAAGGTGTTAGAAGAGTTATGCCCCCTCCCTCTGGAGGCTCCAGGGAAAAATCATTCCCTTGTCTTTCCTAGCTTTTAGAGTTGTATTACTTGGCTCAGGGTTTCTTCCACCATCTTCTATGCCAGCTGCGTAGCATCTTCAAGTTTCTCTCTGCTTCTACTGTTACACTGTCTTCTTCTGCTGTCAAGTCTCCTTTGCCTCACTCCTATAAGGACACCTGTGATTACATTTAAGGTAAAACTGGATAATCCAGCATAATCTTCCGTCTCAAGATCCTTAATGTAGCCATGTCTGCAAAGTCCTTTTGGCATATAAGGTAATATTCACAGGATCCAGGGATCAAGAACTGCATATCTTTGAGGGCCAGTATTCAGCCTACCTCAGTGGTTAAGAATGTGGATTCTGGAACTAGAGTGCCTAAATTTGAACTCCAGCCCCACCACTTACTGGTTGGGTGATCTTGGACAAATTACTTGACCTCATTTTTTCATCTGTTAAGTGGGCCTAATAACAGGATCTACTTTATGGGGACTAAGTGAATTATGACAGGATAATAGTAGCAGCTACCTCAGAGGGTTATTGGGAAATAACATGAGTTAATACATGTAAAGGTCTTAGAATAATGTCTTAGAATATAGTAAATGCTATGCAAGTACTGGTTATTATTAGTATTTCTATCACCAAAGTACTATTTTATAATTATTATTATTGTTATTGTACCTTACACAATGTTGGGCACAATCTACGGCCTACTCTCAATTGCTTGATAGCATCTTCTTTCAACCTAAGAAAGAATTTACTTCCTGCCTTCTGATGAGTGACGTTAGCTTAGTGTGATTAATCATTCTCTTCCTGTCTCTTGGATGCATGAATAAACCAAAAGCTTACACAGAGTCCTAAATGCAGTAGAAACTAAACTTTGGCAAACACAAATGACACATTTTCAGTGCCTTTCCTAGTCTGTGCACACGTATTCTGTGCACTTTTTTCAGGGCCATCTACTTTCTTTGCCGGATCTTTATTCAACCTTTTTAGGAACAACTTCACTGCTTTTCTTTATAAAACAACCAATCAGGCATGTATCATTTAACAAGAAGCCAGCCTTTGTAATCCATGCACATTAAGAAGAAGAAAATAAAGCAAAATAATCAAGTAACTTATTTTAAGAAGGATGAGACTTAAAAAGAACAACCAAAACATGTCATTGACATAAATATTGCTGGCAGGACACAACATGGCTAATGACTTAGATAGTTTAGCCCAGCCACAGAACTAATTGGTCAACAGTGAATGCCTAAATATAGGCCCTGTGCCTAAAAAATATCTTGCTACTTCCTTAAAACAGGATACTCTGGCCAAAACAGCCTTATTGAGAAGGCTAAAACAACTCTGGGAAAGTTCACCTCTGCTGGGCGTAGAGCCTGGGATTGCAAAAAATGTAATTATTTAGTGAAACATTTACACTGGAAATATATTCAAAATTTTTATTTTATAAGCAATACTTTGGGGATTAATTTGAAACACATGTGGGCTGCTGAAATGCATGCAGGAACAGTGCCAATCACCAATTCAGCAATAGCTCTCTTAGGCAGTGGCAACCTAATCCAGACAAAAGATAAGCTAATTTAAAAAATGATAATTTACCTTGTCCTCATAAAATAATATATTTTTGACAAAGACAGAGACTCACTAATTTTAATGTATCTGGCTACACTACAGATAAAGTTTACCAAAAAACCACAGTAATTTACAAACCAGATATTAAACCACTTAAAGACTCTATCATGGCTTCAGTGCTAAGAGCTGAAAAAAAGGCGGGAGGAGCATCACCAGCAAAACCCAGCCTGGACAGTAAGCAGCAGACCTCAGGAAGGCAGAGGCCACATATCACTATCCAGCTGCACCGATGCCGCGGGAAAGCTACACTGGCTACATTCAGCACAGCTGTTCTATTAGCATTTATAAAGTTGACCCTGAGGAAATAGGATTTGTGACCAGCAAATATTTTGTCCCTCTTTTTAACTGCCATTTGACTTAAAGATAAGTAGGGTGTCAGAATATGAAATACATGGAGGTCGCTCTACTTACAAACAGGCTGAATTCCAAAAGGCTGTTAAATCCATTCGTTTAAACGTCCAAAACCGTGTGTGAGATTTAGGTTTATGGGGTCAGTATTTCCTCCTAGTTGAATATTTTGGGCATTTTAAAAACTGCCCTGTTTGTTTATAATGAATATCTGCCGAGGCAGGCAACCCCTCCCTGACACAATCTTCACTAACAGGAAAAGGGCGGTAACCTCTGGCAGCTAAGGAATCCCTATTAGAGCTTCACCTGCAGATAAGAAAAGGCCTTGAACCCATGGTGTCAACCGCGGTTTTTGATAAGTTTCCACAGCAGCACTTTAATTCACCATGCTTAAAGTTCTTGAACTCCTAACCTTCACCTTTGACTGAACAGGCATTCCACTTTAACAACAATCCTCTGCCAAAACCATTTCAGTCAGTCACATTTCTTCGCCTCTGGCTGATTGTCAGCTGCATGGGTACATCTTTTGTCACACATCATGGGACTGCCCTTCATAATCATTCTTTTTTTTTTTTGAGACCGAGTCTCGCTCTTTTGCCCAGGCCGGACTGCAGTGGCGCTATCTCGGCTCACTGCAACCTCCGCCTCCCGGGTTCACGCCATTCTCCTGCCTCAGCCTCCTGAGTAGCTGGGACTACAGGCGTCCGCCACCGCGCCCGGCTAATTTTTTGTATTTTTAGTAGAGACGGGGTTTCACCGTGTTAGCCAGGATGGTCTTGATCTCTTGACCTCGTGATCCGCCCACCTCAGCCTCCCAAAGTGCTGGGATTACAGGCGTGAGCCACTGCGCCCGGCCCATAATCATTCTTATCGTCCAATGATATATCTAAATCGGTGTTTCTCACTATCAAATTTTTACACAATTTCTACTTTTGTGCCCAGTAATCTATCATTAGCACTGCTTTCAGGGACAAAAATGGGATTTGTAATACAGAATACCTCAAAACTATGCACATATAAAACAAACATGCTATAAATAATAATAATGGCCGAGTTAAAATATTCATCTGTTGATGATCAGCACAGCTAAATCCCTTGCTCTGGAGTATACTTTGTCCCTATCCATAAAGTTCATAAGTTTCAAGTTTCAAGCAGAAGAGTTTCAAAGGATTTATAAGACCATATAAAGACTTTCTGTCCTATAGATTTATACCCTAAAATCATGATATTTTTGGATTATAGAATAAAAGAACACCAAACTCTTAAAGAAATTGCATAAGCAACTGAATAAGCAATATCAACATGTTTTCAAACTATACTTCTGGACAGGATTTCTATCTTTTGCTTGATGTCCCAGAGTGACAGTATCAAAGGAGATACATAAAAATGCTTAATACAGCATTAGCTAATATTTATACATCCCTAGTTTTATGCTTTGTCCCATCATCCATTTGTTTTCAAATTCACTGTTTCTATAAAAGGTCATGATTGGCTTAGAAATCTGAATAACAAAGCAAATTATTATTTGCCAGTCAAAAATAATTTAGTGACGGTCATATGTAGTTTAGTCAAAGGAAATAAGATAGCTCAAAAATACTAAAAGTAAAACTCAAACAGGTAGACTTCAGTCTCACATTCATAAGGCATTCTTGATTTCTTTCTTTTTTTTAATTTGAGACAGGGTCTTACTCTGTTGCCCAGGTTGGAGTGCAGTGGCATGATCTCCACTCACTGCAACCTTCGCCTCCTGGGCTCAAGCGATCCTCCCACCTCAGCCTCCCAAGTAGCCTGGACTACAGGCACCTGCCACCATGCCCAGCTAATTTTTGTATGTCTTTGTAGAGATGGGGTTATACCATGTTGTCCAGGCTGATCTTGAACTCCTGAACTCAAGTGATCTGCCTGCCTTGGCCTCCCAAAGTGCTGGGTTTACAGGCAAGAGCTACCATGCCTGGCCTTGATTTATTTCTTTAAAAGAAAGAGCAACTTGACATAAACTCTACCTGAAATTCTGTAGTCTCTTAAGTGAGCAATATCTTCTCTCTGCCATTTGGCATAAAAGCTACCCAAGGCTATATAATAATATTCACATCTAACACTGCAAAAGCCTTTTCAAGATAGGCTTTCTTATAACTTTTCAAGAATGGAGACTGAGTTTAGTATGCATTATTTAAATATTTGAAAGTTAGATTAATGGAGAAATTAAGTGTTAATAAAAGGGTTATTATTACCAAATCATACCTAACAAAGTACACATTTTATTATCTTAACAGCTGACAACAGTGCTTCTTTTAGGAAAGAAATACTTTTTGTTTGGGAAAAGACTTGGAAAAGTCTCTTAAGGTAGAAGGTAAGGCCTCATAGCATCAAAAAGAAGGCTAAACTGCTCTGCAAGAGACAGGGAAATAACTGTTTTTTCTTTCTCCTAAAAGGGAGAGGGAAGAGAGAGAGGTCTCATGGTGATGGCAGGAGCTCAGAGAGAACACCAGAAATCTGCAAAAATCATAAGGAGGGTTTTGGCTTCCCCATATGAAACCTTCACATGCAACTGAAGGTTTACAGCAACTATTTCACTCTTGAAGGGTCTGGACACTCAGCTGACACTTGGGTTAGACATATTAAAATATTACTTCACAAGGGCAGTTGCTGTCAATAATTTATATTCCAGGATATTAATAAAATATAGTTACCATATTTTTTATTTTTCAACAGAAAATTATGTCCTTTTGACTAAAGTAACGATTAAAAAAGGAAAAAAAACAAGTATAGGTCTTCAAAAATGAGGAATGCAGAGTAAATGGCATCATAGAATTCATGGATTTCCTGTTCTCTTAACCAAAAATGGGGGAATACATCTCAAGCAGAGGCATTTTATACAATAGAATCTGTGGGTACTAAAATATGTACTGTACTTCTAGAAACAAATAAATCCTTCCTGAACAAGTCAGAAAGAATTTTCTTTCAATGATGACTGGCAAAATTTAGGCGCTAGTTTCAATAAAAAGACACCATTGGCCGAAAACCTGGAAATACTTCACAGAAGATTAGAAACAGACTGAATAGATGACAATTGTGCTAACAGATTTAAGAATATTTCTGTATAATCTGCTCTTCAGAATTTATCCTCAAATCAAATAGCTAGGAAGACCCCTTGAAATGGCACTTTCACATAGCAGTAAGGAAAATACAAATTTTAAAAACAGCAACAAGTCAAGAAGAGGTAGAAAATCTATGTCCTCATTTCTCTTTGTCCTCTCTAACAATAAAACACAAATTTGCTTTTGGTGGCTTAAGATGACTCTAAATCCTTCAGTTATTTAAAAATTATAGTCCTTAAGGCCTTCAGAAGCAGAAGTCCCCATATGATCAGTGTCAAAAGAAAAACTATAGGCAATATAGCTCTTCAAGTCAACGAAGTAATCAGTGGCACCAGGACGTGCAATCTTATATGACCAGAACAGAGGGTAACTTAAAATGGCGGTGAGTGATGGTCAGGATGGAGTATTATAAACACATATAATTCTAGATTTATTCTAGAATTATCTGCATATTAAAGACATACCTATTTTAGTAATGTAATTCTACTAGGCGAGAGACTTTCTAATTACAGTATGTTTAGACATAAGACTCATTGTTTTTCAAAACCAGTTGTCACAGACAACTCAAGGGCTTTGAAGATAAGGTTACTTTTTGAGGGAGAATTAACATGCAATAGACGCCTTTGGTTTGCCCATGAACTTCAGGGCAAATAAGAACAGGTAAATTTTTTGAGATATGGCTACTGGCTATCTGCAATCCAGGAGGTTATTAGATTCAGAGCTTGAAGGCTATAATAAATAGGAGGCTGTGGAAATTTGAGAACTCTCTTCCTCTACCTGCGTTTAATGGCTATTCTCCCCAGTTCTTCAGGATTCTCTCATGGGCCCTCTCTCTCTCCTTCTCTCCTCTGGAATCTCATCTACTTCAAAGGCCTCAATTTCCAACTACACTATAGTTACTCTCCAAGTCTCTATCTTCAACCCAAATTGGCATTTTGTGATTTTATACTGGAAATCTCAGTATCAATTTATAATCATTACCATAAATCCACCACATTCTAAACTGAACTCATTTTTCCTTCTCCCATTAAATATTTTTCTTTTTCTGCTTCACTAACTAGTTGATATCACCAATTCACCTGATCAGCAGAGCCAAAAATCTAAGAGTCATCCTTCCTTTCCTAAATACCTGCTTTCTATATAGTCACCAGTTCTGTCAATTTATTTTTCAAGCCTATTGCTACGGCCCTAGTTTAATCCTTCTCTGTCCGTGGCCATAGTTTCCTACCGTGTCCTCCAGTCTTAACCCTCTCTACTCTGAGCTGATGTGGCTCTTAGAACGCATACTGCTATTCTGCACACCCTCCCTACTCTCAGCATACCGGTCCTTATGCTTCAAATGTCCTCTACCTCTAAATGTACACACAAACCTAGCAACTTGGTTTTTCATGCAGACTTTCTTATAAGGGAAAAATATACTAACTCTATGGGGACCCAAATATGTAGTCCACTTGGCAGTTGTACTGTATATCAAGATCACACATCCTGGCTTATTTATTATTCTTTAATGTATTTGATTAGTGTATCATTTTCTCAGGGCCTTATCAACTCAGTACAGTGAGAAAACTTCAGTTTCCAGACCTACACAATTGAAGAGGAGACACCACTACCCTGTGAAACTTTTCCTGAGCAAAAGGAACTAGCTCTTTGACACTGAAAGCAAAAATCAAAACATTTTAGTGAAATTCGTGCCTTTACTGAACAATAAAACAAACGAAACTAGCACTCCGAAGGTTTTGAAGACCAGCTAATGATGGTAAACAATTTATGATAAAGACACAAGGGCCTTCTGTGTTTCAAATGAAATGCATATGATAAAGAAATATGTTCTCAATTCTGTTGCAAATCAGTCTTTCCTAATAATAGTTAGCTGATTGAGTACTTACTAGGTGCCAGGCATCATGTTAAATGCTTTCTGTGTATGATTACCTCCTTTAATCCTCACAATTCCATGAGGTGAATGTTATTACTGTCATCATTTTACAGACAAGAAAATTAAGGCTTAGAGGTTAATTACTTGTCCATACTAAGAGCCAGGAATAAAACCCAACTATGTTTTTCCAAAGCTGAGGCCTCTATCCTCTGAGCTTTACTAGCAAGGGACTGGAGTGTGAGGATAGTAGTGTGTGTGTAGTTTGCAAAAGCCTCAGATAATTCTACTACAATCCTATGTCTCTACTCCACTTTTTAAAAACACATAGTGGTTACTGAATATAGAAGAAGAAGAAAAAAAACAAGTAATCCGCTCCCCCCAACCATTTGTTCTTGAGCAATTTATATTTGCTTTTAGAAATGACTTATCTGGTTCCAGAGTTGGGTGTATTTACAGTGAGGCAGAATAATCTGTGTGTGTGTTGTATGTACATCACACAATTCTTAATGAGACAACTCCAAATCTGACTTTGGTTCTGTTTTTAAGTGGGTAATTCTACAATATCAAGAAAATAATACAGATGTATTACCATAAATTGGGAAGCATTCTGTTACTTGTTTTGAACTGCTAAAAGTAGTAAATGGAACATAGATAAAAAATAAATCTCTATTCCAATAAATTAAGTCTACCTCTATCTTAGTATCTGGCAAATGACAGGCATTCAATAAATATCTGTTAAATGAATGAATCAGGCTGTAGTCAAATTACATCCTTGTAGTCTATAGTAGGGAGGAAAATGAACTGCATAGGAATATGAGACTGTTAGAACATGTGGAAATGGAAAGCTTTCTTAGCCTAATTTACAAAAGTCTACATAGGTCTCTCATGGGTATCAGTAAAGTAGGTGTACGTGCAGGGCTATACCAACTAAGCTCATCGGTTACTCTGAAGGTGCAAACATTCCCTAGAGATGGGATTGACAACATGATGGCAAAAATACCACAGAATCTTTAATACTTTTTTTTTTTGTGGTTTTCCATGGTTTTCTTATTTTAAAAAACATTGATGGTAAGATGTTTTCCTCCTGAAGTTAACACATGATAACGAGGAAAGTCCAATAAACTGCCATGGGAGGAAAAAAAAAGTCCTTAGGCCAGACAGAAAATAATTTGATGACTCAGGATCATTACTAAGAAGAGCAATTACTGTATTATAATATAATGACTACAGTGATATCCTCCAGGATTATAAACTTTTAAAGAGCTTTTTCTGGGTGGTGTAGCCAAGATGGCAAAATAGAAAATAACCTGCTCAAATGTCCAACAATGATAGACTGGATTAAGAAAATGTGGCACATATACACCATGGAATACTATGCAGCCATAAAAAATGATGAGTTCATGTCCTTTGTAGGGACATGGATGAAATTGGAAATCATCATTCTCAGTAAACTATCGCAAGGACAAAAAACCAAACACCGCATGTTCTCACTCATAGATGGGAATTGAACAATGAGAAAACATGGACACAGGAAGGGGAACATCACACTCTGGGGACTGTTGTGGGGTGGGGGGAGGGGGGAGGGATAGCATTAGGAGATATACCTAATGCTAAATGATGAGTTAATGGGTGCAGCACACCAGCATGGCACATGTATACATATGTAACTAACCTGCACATTGTGCACATGTACCCTAAAACTTAAAGTATTAAAAAAAAAAAGTGCCTCTTAAAGAAGAAAAAAGAAAAAGAAAATAACCCGCTCATATGTGACCCCAACAAGTCTGCACCCATCCATAGTTAAAGAGCTCTTTCTCCCTATAGTAAATAATCCCAAATTGCTATTTTTTTTTTAAGATTTTAAGCCCATTTCTAATTTTGTTTCCTCCCTCACTGTGAGGCTATCAACTACTACACTTTACTGTTGCTAGCTTGCCTCTCCCCTTTCTAACTCGCTGTTGGCTGAGAAACCAGATAAGCAGGTTATCAGAACACCCATAAGGTGTCTGTTTGACTGAACTCCAGGACCTGTTTTTCTGCCCTTGGCTGACTTCCCAAATACCTCTTTCTTTCATCCCTCCAGCACCAGGGATTTAGCTGGCTTTCTCCTCCTCCTTTGGCACTGTCAGCAAGTGCTTTTCTCACCTGGTATTCTTTTACCTAGCCTAGCTATGAACATGAACACACTCTGTCCTTTCTTAACTGTCTCCCTAGAAAAGACAGCTCTTCCTCTATTCTTTTGTGAGAATTTTACTGTTAATTGCTAGGGGAAATATAAAGTGGATTATAAATATGGAAAAAAGGTTTAGGAAATCTTAACATCCCTCACTGTAATTTTTGCTTTTAACCCATTTATGCCTACTGTTCCATTATTGGAATGCTAAGCTTGTGGGAGTCATATCCTACTGCTCAAGGTCATCGCCAAAGTCTGATTTTTCACACAAAAAAATTTGCAACCTCTGGCATAAATGGGTTAATCAGTGTTTATTGATTCCCTTTCTTGGATGATCCCAGAAGATGGCTGCCCACTAGTCATTCTTCCCTCACTACACTGCAAGTTCCTCAAAGGAAGGGACCTTATTTTTGTTATGTCCAAAACCTAACAGCAACTGACACACAGTAGTCTTGCAAAATACGTGCCTACTACCTAGAAGCTTAATCATTAAAAATATCAATACACTGAGTTACAGAAGTAATTTAATGAACAAAGTTGATATTAATACATTTTCAATACAACATCAACTAAATGAATTGCCTTGAAAAACACAGTTAAGCTAAGATTGAATATTCTAAAGAAAAACACTTATGTGCTTTATGAAAAAATCTGCATAAAAGAGTTTGGTGTTAAAAGGGTGCTTTATCATTTTTATAGCAATGACACACTATACACTTTTCTGTAATAACTAAAAAGAACTAGTTGTCAGTCTCATAGGAAAGCCAAAACTCAACATTCATTTGGCTCATTGCTTAGTTTTATCACAATTTCCACTAAGAGCATTTGCAGCTGATCATGAATGCATTTAAAATAAGCCCCACATCAAATGAGAAATGGTCAGATATCTTCTTTTAAAAACTCACAATTGCTAATAAAAGCTTCATTTGTAGTCTTTCAATTTTGTAACTAAAAATAAAACAAAGGCAAATTCAGTGGTTTGGCCTAGTACTTGCTGAGAAAGTTAAGAATGGTTGAAATGTTTTTTTAGTTGTTAAATTACATGCTTTGGGAACAGTAGTAGCATCTCAGAAGCATTTTAGTTGGTTTCTAGTCTCTTCCTCCTCCTCCTTTCTTCCTCCAGACAGTGTGCTCTTTCTTTTTTTTTTTTTTAATTTTCTCCCCCGAGACAGAGTCTTGCTCTGTCGACCAGGCAGGAGTGCAGAGGCGCGATCTCAGCTCACTGCAACCTCCGTCTCCCGGGTTTAAGCGATTCTCCTGCCTCAGCCTTCAGAGTAGCTGGGATTACAGGTGTGCTCCACCACGCCCAGCTAATTTTTGTATTTTTAGTAGAGATGGGGTTTCACCACATGTTGGCCAGGCTGGTCTCGAACTCCTGACCTCGTGATCCACCCACCTGGGCCTCCCAAAGTGCTGGGATTACAGGTGTGAGCCACTGTGCCCGGCCGATGGTGTGCTCTTTCTAAACCAACAAACTTCCTTTTGTTTCAACTTACACCACTGGCCTGAATAACCCCAAAGAGAGGTAGGTGCCTATAGTGGAAAGCGATACGAGCAGAGAGCAAGCTGGGCATGGTGGCTCACACCTGTAATCCCAGCACTTTGGGAGGCTGAGGTGGGCAGATCACGAGGTCAGGAGATCGAGACCATCCTGGCTAACACAGTGAAACCCCCGTCTCTACTAAAAATACAAAAAATTAGCTGGGCAAGGTGGTGGGCGCCTGTAGTCCCAGCTACTCGGGAGGCTGCGGCAGGAGAATGGCGTGAACCCAGGGGGCGGAGCCTGCAGTGAGCCGAGTTCGCACCACTGCACTCCAGCCTGGGCGACAGCAAGACTCCATCTCAAAAAAAAAAAAGAAAAGGGCAGAGAGCAGAGATTTGACGCTTGGACCCCAAACATGATTTACTTTACAAAAATGATGAATTTTTGAGCAATCAATTTTCTAAATTGACTTGCATTTTAAACATAAAGAGGCAGTTAACTTCTGAAAAGGTCACAACACCATGTGGAATAGGGATGAGGCAAATTCAGTCATCAACTGTGGGCCTCACTCCACAGGCACGCCCCCCATTATCCTCTTAAACATCCTTTCTTTTCTGAGACAATTCCATACCACATCTTTTCTCACTTATCTCTGACCCTCTATCTGTTCTCCATTTCTCTTATTCTCATTCCTCCCACTGATAAATCCATGTAATCTATAGCTAGCTTTCGCTCCAAACTGAGAATTATGGACAAACATAATCTCAGTTATGCACTTGCACACTTGTTGATCAGAGTGTAAATTAGTATTCCTCTTAGAGAAAGAACTGGGTGGCTGGAAGACAGAAAGGAGAGAGAAACTTACTTTTTATTATATACCTTTCAATTTTTCTACCATGTGTATATGTATACCCAGTTAAAAAGTAATTAAATATAACTCAACAGTCCTATTCCTGCCTTCTCTAAACCTTGCTCCATTAATTATCCCTATCCTCCATCAGTTTCACCTTCTTCTTTGGCTTATTAAACATGCTCAAATTCTTTTATTTTATTAAAAACTACAATTAAAAAAACCCCTACCTTTCCCAAGTCTTTGAGTTCCCCTCTACCTACCCTCTGTCCTTACTCAAGCTTCTTCAAATACTCTCATTTTGTCTCTCCCACCTCTCATTCATACCTCAACCCCACTACAACCTGATTTCATCCTAAACCACCCTCCTTGGGTCATCAACAGTCCCTGCTAATCAATCCAATCATGACTTCTTAATTGTTATCTGATGTCATCTCTGGTTTATATTGTTGACTACTCCCTGTTTCAACTTCCCTTCCTTGGCTCTCCTGGAGAGAGAGAGATCTTACAATGCTCATTCTCAAACTCCTCACTGGATCATCCCATTCCCTCCCCTTGGTCTTTAAATGTTAGTGTTTTCCAGAGTTCCAACTGTGACCACGTTTTGTATTGTTCTTGTTGTAGCTGCTTTTTCATTACCTTTTTGCCAACCAACCACTACCACAGATTAAATTATCTTTTTAGTGTTAGTGACTCCCAATCTGGCTCTTCAGACAGACTTCTTGACTCCACTCAAATTTCCCACAGGCTGATTATGATCCACTGAATACTAGATTCCTCCATCCCTCATCCTGTCACATCCAATCCATTAACAAATCCTGTACACCCTACTACCAATATATACCTCAAATCTACTCACTTTTCTCCATCCTCTCTTCCACCATCCTAGTTCAAGCCATCATCATCTCTTAGACTATGAACCAACAAACCTCCTAACAAGGCTCCATGCTTAATCATGGCCTTAAACAGGGTTCTTCTCCATTCTCTATAAGCAGCAAGAATAGTGTTTTTAAAGCTAAACTCCTTCTTAAAAAAAATCCAGGGCGGCCGCAGTGGCTCACGCCTGTAATCCCAGCACTTTGGGAGGCCAAGGTGGGCAGATCACTTGAGTTCAGGAGTTCGAGATCTGCCTGGACAGCATGGTAAAACCCCATCTCTACAAAAACATACAAAAATTAGGAGGCATGGTGGCACGTGCCTGTAGTCCTGGCTACTTGGGAGCCTGAGGCAGGAGAATCGCTTGAACCCGGGAAGCAGAGGTTGCAGTGAGCCGAGATCGTACCACTGCACTCCAGCCTGGGTGACAGAGTGAGACTCTGTCTCAAAAAAATAAATAATAAAATAAAAATAAAAAATAATAATAATACTTAAAAAATCCAAAGGTTCTCATAGTAACGACAATAAAACCACACCTCTCATCACAGTCTGTGAGGTCTGGCCTAGTCTGGCCCCTGCCTGCTTCTCCTCCCTCATCTTGTACCACTCTCCTCCTTGCTCATACTCAGTCACAGAGACACAGACCTTTTGTTACTTCTTTTAATTCTTCATCACTCTCTTAACTCTGGGCCTTTGTAACTGTTGTTCACTGTACCTGGAATACTCTTTCTCTCTTGTTCTCTATATGCTAACTCCTTCTCACATTTAAGTCTCATTTTAAAACTTACCAGTCTACTTGATCTAAAGTAGCCTCCTCTGCCCACCTTTGTTCTCTAACTCGGCATCTAATTTGTTTCTTTCACACTATAATTTCACATAAATTGTAATAATATATTTGTAATAATATACAAAATTATAATATATGTGTGAAAGAAACAAATTAGATGCCAAGTTAGAGAACAAAGGTAGGCAGAGGAGGCTACTTTACTTTTTCTTGAAAGGAAAGAGAGGGTGCCATTTTCTCTCTCCTCCTTGCTGATCAGAAGAGGAATATAATATGCCAGAAGCTCAAGCAACTCCATAAATAATTGGTGTTGAAATGAACTATTAGCTAAACTGGTGGGGGAATTCTTTCACCATTAACATGCACAATTCATCAACTCCATTGTTACACAATAGAGTATAACACTCTTAAATTAGACTCTATTTAATCATTCCTTCCTTTTTTGTGACTTGTCAAAAAGCTTTCTAAAAAGAAAGAACTCAAAGTTTGGCAAACACTGACAAATAAATATAGATAAGCTCCAAGGACCTCAAGGATCTTTACAAAATGAATTCGTTCCACTGCTATACCACCAGCAGACTTTGTACGCTCATTTTCTAGCATGAATAAACCACAATACGGGGTAGTTAAACAGGGTATCTTCAAGAGGTTATGTGAGTCAGTAGTAAAGCTAAGAATAAAGCTAGAACATCACTTATATATAAATATTAAGCAGCCAGTTGAAAAAGAAAATTTCAATACAATGACCTCAATTAACAACTGGTCAAACAGCTGTTCATTGAACAGCTTTCAACAAATGCCACTTGAATTAAACCAAAAGTACTAAAAAAAGATAAATAGTAGTATACAACAGCCTCTGCCCAAAGGGAGGTTAAAGATTTAAGAAGTCTAAGCTCCAAAAGGGACAGCTCTAATGATCTGGATTAGATCTAATATCCAATGAGCTAAGAAATCTAAGAAAATAAGATAGTACCAGATAATAAATATTTGATGAGTGTTACAACAGAATTGTCGGGAGAGAGCTCTTTTCTAGCTGAGGTGGTCTGGCTTCACACAGGATGTAAGATTTAAGTGGACTCCCTAAGGAGGAAAAGATTTGGATAGGTGAGGAGACTATCTGGTAGGAGAAAATAATAATGATAATATCCAACAGCAAGTAGCAGACAGAGCCAGGTTGGCAGCATATACAGACCAATTTGAGTGGGAAGAATTATGGGGAAGGTATTTGGAGATTTAAATTTGACTAGTTCAGATTAAGAAGTCTGAACTTGATCCTGCAGGGAACACATTTCTAAATAGAAGTGACATTTGAGAGAAATAAATGTAAATGCAGGATGCAGGATAAATTTTGGAATGGAGAGATTAGAGACAAAAATAATTAGAAAATTTTATCACATTTACGCATGGATTATTTTAATAAAGGTATAAACTAGGTGAATGGAAATTTTAAGAAGGATTTACGGGTTTGTGAGATAGTGAAAACAGGACCTGTTAACTGATGAGTTGGGGATAGATGAACTTTTTCCTCTCCTAAAAGATAACTACATCTGGCATATGCCTCAATTACTCAGGCTTGAAACCTTACAACTTCTCTTGCCCCTCACTCCCCGAGAATTCTCTTCCCCAGACATTTCCCCTCCCTGCAAACTAGCTTCTCCATCTTCCCCAACCACACAACATATTCCAGCCAAAAGAAAGAACTGCATTTACTAGCTTCCTAGACACACCAGGAAATTCTCAGTCCTGTAACTCTGTCCATGCTATTTCTTCTAATTTTAATGTCCTCTCCCCATTCTACATATCCAAATTCTAGCCATGCTTCCCACACCAGCTCAATGCCACTTTTCCCAACAGGCCTTCCCAGAAACCCCAACTTGAAGGAGGTATTGCCTCCGAACACTTTCTGCTCTTCTCTAAAACAGTTTTTAAAACCTTAGAGCTGTTCCTTATCTCCTCTGATAAACTGCATGCCTCTTACAGCAAACATACTTATTTTTGTATTACTCTGCCCTCTTTTCACAAATAAAGAGCTAGATAAATATCATATAGCAACAGCACAGTGTAAAGCCAAGAACACAGACTCTAAAGACAGACTGAGTTTGAATCTTAACTCTGCTGCCTGTTAGCTATGTGATCTTGGACAAGCTACTTAATCTCTCTGTGCTTCAGTATGTTTACGTTTAAAATGAATAGTAGGTATTTCAAAAGGTTGTCAAAGAATTTGGCTTAAATCTGTGTCAGCACCATAAAAGTGTCTATTAAATACATAAGATCACTTTTTAGAGTGGAAAAATCTGAATATTCTGATAGTTGTATAAAGCTTTATGATCTATACAAGGAAAAGCAAAATGTCAAAATAAAGACAGCCTCTGGGTACAAACAGCTATATACAAATTCTTTCCCTATCTTCTTATGTACACCCTAAGGGTTAGCTGTGCCCTTTATAATGTTATATTAACAGTGGCTCTGTTTTAGTTAGACATTTCAATATTCTGGGAAAACTGTTAGTTCAGCATCCTGTGGCACTAGCTACCTTGGTTACCTTGTCTCCGGTCTTATTACCTTTCATTTATCCTTTACAAGTCTTAGTCTTTCTAAAATGCAAATCTAATGCTTTTCCACTGCTACAAACCACCTCCATCCCATCTTCCTTAGGATAAAGTTTAAGCCCCTTGGCATCTCATGTAAAATCTTCCTAATCCAGCCCCAGCCTAGTCTCCAGTTTCATTTCTCTCAACATTTATCTCTTCACCAAAAAACCTCAATCACCTAACCACAGCTTAAAGGCTTTTTGTATGTCAACTTCTATCACCTAACCACAGCTTAAAGCCTTTTTGTATGTCATTCCTTTTGCCTAGAACACCTATTTGTTAGTTTGCTAGGGGTTCCATAAAAAACTACCACAGACTGGGTGGCTTCAACAACAGAAATTTATTTTTTCACAATACTGGAGTCTGGAAGTCCAAAATCAAGGTGTTGGCAGGTTGGTTTCTCCTGAGGCCTCTCTCCTTGGTCTTCTTGATGAATCCTCACATGGTCTTTCCTTTGTGTGTGCAACTCCTGTGTCTCTTTTTGTGCTCAAATTTCCTTCTTATAAGGAAAACTGTCAGACTGGATTAGAACCCACCCTAACGGCTTCATCTGAACTTAATCACCCCAAAGCCCTGTCTCCAAATACAGTCACATTCTGAGGTTACGGCTGTTAGGGCTTCAATATAATTTTGGGAGGACACAATTCAGCCCATAACAACCCCTTCCCCTTTTCTCTGCCCAGGCTAATTCCCATTTGTTTTCCCAAGACTGGTCCAAGCCTTCCCACTCCAGAGTAACTTCAGTGTTCTTTCTCTGTGCTCCCAAAGTACCTCGGCAAGCTGTGATCCCATTGCTCAACACACTATGTTAATTGTCTCTTTCCTTCTTCAAACTACATTCCTTAAGAGCAAAGACTAAATTCCTAGCATTGGCACAGTGTGTGGCACACAGAAGGTGTTTAATAAAGATTTGATCACTGAAGGAAAATGAAAGAAAGAACAGGAACCTTGAAGTACGACAAGCATGGGTTCAAATCCTGATTCCACAGTTTACTTATCTGTGACTCTGAGCAAGTCATTACATGCTGAACTTCCATTTTAAATAAGGTAGTTGTAAAGACAAATGACTAACTCATAATGAAAGCACCCAGCTGTGGGGCTGGTACACAGTAGGTTCTCAATAAATGTTAGATTACAGATTTTGATCTTGTCTTCTCTGACACTCAGTACTACCATGTAGTAGCTACATGACCTTTGGTATATTTACTATCTTCTCTTTGCTTTAGTTGCCTATCTATAAAAACACCTCAGTGCTATTGTGAGGATAAGTTAATATAGGTAAAACATTATCTAACACATAGTATTACATAAATGTTTCCTATTATTATAAGAACACTGCAGATCTGAACAGATAATGACTCAACTATGAATAATTTAGTTCTTTTAATTACTAAGTCATTTAAATGTGACTATTACCTTTTTGCCTCCTATTTCTTACCAACTAAACAGGATGGTAACTAAAGAGGTTCAAAACTGGTACAGATAATATAATGAGAGCTCACAATAAACATGAAATAAGACATTATCTGTCTCATTCCTTATACTGGTATTTAACATATTTGGGGCACTAAAGCAAAGAAAGTTTCAGTGGAGAATAACACTTCTCTGCTCGTATTTTAATTTTTTTTAGAGATGGCGTCTCACTCTGTCACTCAAGCTGGAGTGCAGTGGTGCCATCATCGCTCAAGGGATCCTTTGATCTCAGCTGGCACTACAGGCACAAACAACCACACCCAGCTATTTTTTATTTTTGGTAGACATGGGGTTTTGCTATGTTGAACAGGCTGGTCTCAAGTCATCCTCCTGCCTCGGGCTCTCAAAGTGCTGAGATTACAGGTGTGAGTCACCACACCCAGCAGGGTCATATTTTTATTTGCAGACTCACAAAACCTGTAAACTGAAAAGAACCTTTTGATAAAAGTCCAGTCTTATAATTTCTTACATAAGTGAGATGGATTTGGAATGGGCTTTTCGGGTCTTACTGAGCAGTTCAGTAAGAAATGGGAATTGTAGGCAGAGAGAATCAGTTTGTTCAAAAGTACTAAAGCAGGGGTTCAGGACTTATTCCAGATGTCCAAGGTGTGTGTTGGAACCAGTCTTAGACAATAACACTAGACAATCCTCTTTAACCACTCAACCTTTAAAGTCTATAATTTCTGAAGTACGTATTAGTTACCTGATCTGTGACTTGGAAGCAAGGCAGATCTAGATTTAAATCTCCCCTTGTTACATAAGCAAGTCTTTGAGCCTCAGATTAGTGTGATAGGTTTGTTAAAGTGATTAAGTGAGCTAAAGTATGAAGAGCTCCCACCTGGGGTGCCTGGCAGATTGCAAATACTAAAATGTTGGTTCTTTTTTTTTTTTTTTTTTTTTGAGACTGAGTTTCACTCTTGTTGCCCAGACTGGAGTGCAATGGCTCGATCTTGGCTCACCGCAACCTCCGCCTCCTGGGTTCAAGCGATTCTCCTGCCTCAGCCTCCTCAGTAGCTGGGACTGCAGGCATGTGCCACCATGCCTGGCTAATTTTTTTTTTTTTTTGAGATGGAGTCTCGCTGTTGCCCAGGCTGGAGTGCAGGGGTGCAATCTTGGCTCACTGCAACCTCTGCCTCCGGGTTCAAGCAATTCTTCTGCCTTAGCCTCCGAGTAGCTGGGACTACAGGCGCGTGCCACCACGCCCGGCTAATTTCTGTATTTTTAGTAGAGACGGGGTTTCACCATATTGGCCAGGCTGGTGTATTTCCTTTCAGTAGAGACGGGTTTCTCCATGTTGGTCAGGCTGTTCTTGAACTCTCCACCTCAGGAGATCTGTCCTCCTTGGCCTCCCAAAGTGCTGGGATTACAGGAGTGAGCCACAGCGCCCGGCCAAATGTTGGTTCTTTCTAACAAACCTCTTCCATCATATGAATAAGTGTGTAAGATAACAAAACACTGTCTTTCACATGGTATGTGCTTGCTAAATGTCTGAGACTTGCTGGACATTACTTAATTTTAAAAATAGAAAACTGGAGCTGGGTGTGGCGGCTCACGTCTGTAATCCCAGCACTTTGGGAGGCCAAAGCGGGTGGATCATGAGGTCAAGAGATCGAGACCATCCTGGCCAACATGGTGAAACCCCATCTCTACTAAAAACACAAAAATTAGCTGGGCGTGGTGGTGCGCGCCTGTAGTCCCAGCTACTCTGCAGGCTGAGGCAGGAGAATCGCTTGAATCCGGGAGGCGGAGGTTGCAGTGAGCCGAGATCACCCCACTGCACTCCAGCCTGGCGACAGAGCGAGACTCTGTCTTAAAAAAAAAAAAGAAAAGAAAGTTGGAATAACTGCTAGGATGATAAAATGTCTTCATCCCTGACCTTTCTCACCTCCAAATGTCCTTCACAATTTGTTTTTAAGTGTCATGTCACCACCATTAACCTGCTATTTGGAGACTACTGTACCTCAGACTTCCAAGTCAACAGCAAAGATCTAAAGGTCGGGAAGATTTACGGAGACCAAGAACTGAAAGTGTTCCTTTTGTTCCTATGGTCCATTCCATCAACTTGATGAATATCCTGTGAAGTTACCTTTTTTTTTTTTTTTTCTGACGTAGAAACAGCAGGTCTAAGCAAAAGGTGCATGAGCAAGAGCAAGTAACATCCCTATTATTATGACGCAGATTTTTTTTTAAGTTGAAATTCAATTTTTGGGCTGCTACTAAAAAGGACATGTGCGAATATCTATTATTTACGCTTCAAACTAAAGTCAGCCGTTTTTCTTTTTCAAGATATGTGGCATCTGGCTCAAAATCAATTGCAAGAAAAGCCCAACTCTATTTGACCCAGAAAGAGCTCTTTCCAATACCCTCTCCTCCCACTTACATCACAGATGGCGACTGAAGCTTAAGGTTTAATGCCCGACCCTAAAGCCACTCATCCTAAAAGACAGGGCTCCAGATGGATGCTGTATGGCAGAGGATAAGGCGCTATGAGAAGCTGCCAAGCCTCAGATGTGCAGCTGGGCTGAATACCGACGCCAGCGCCTAGCGCCCATTACTTTGCACCCACACTTAGGAAACAACCCACGCCTCACCGCGGGACCCGGACCCAGCCCTCCAGCACCCAGCCTCCGGCTCCGACGTCCGCGCGTGACCTCCGGGTACCGGAGGACCTTGGGACGAGGAGGTCCCTCCGCTTTCCGGGGAAGTTGTCAAGGGCAAGTTCGGGTTCTGCGCGGACAGCTTACTCACTGGAGTGGTTCGGCATCCTCTGTCGTCCGCCCGCGCTTCCTCAGGAAGCCCCTAATGCAGCGGCAGCCTGAAAGCAGCAGCCGAAGCTGCTGCCGCTGCTCCCACTGCCAGCAACCGCCCGGGCGTGGCAGGGACAGGCGGGCGACTTCACAACATCATCACTCGGCGACCTCGGTTCTGCGGCGACACCGGGTCAATGGCAGCCCCCACACAATTGGGGAAGCCAAAGGAGAGCCACTCTCCCAGCGGCCTCCACGGCCCCAGCGCAAGACCTGCTGGGAATTGTAGTTTCCTGCCCGCCCCGCCTCAAGCTCGAAGGCCCCGCCTTCTCGCTGCCCAGCCCCGGGGAGGGAGGCGGGGCCGCGACCCCGGCGCGGGTGGGGCGAATGCGTTCCCAGCGGGTAGCCTGGGACTGGTGCAGAGTTCCAAGCCCACGGCCCCGGTCGCGGCCTCGCCGCCCTCCCGCGCCCCGCGCCGGGAGCGGGCCTAGAGCGCTCGCCTCGCCCCTCCGCGAGCAGGGCTCTGGCGCCCGCCCCTGTCCGCACCGCTGGCAGCCTGAAGAGAGTCGCTGGCCGTGGTCGCCGCTAGGGTAAAGACGGGAGGCAGGCCCGGGAAGGGAAGGTGTCGGGGCCGGTGGGGGACGTGTGAGGGAGTGAGCCTTGGTCCGCGCACGCCCGGGAAGCCAGAGGCCAGAACGCGCTAGCCCACCTCCAGCCCGAGCACCGGCGGCTGGCGGGAGCCGTGGCAAGAATGCGGCCCGAGGTGGCGAGCAGCCACTGCGCCAGTGCAGCTCGGGCTCAGCGGGGCCCGGGCCGCGGGTTCGCAGCCCGCCCAGTGGTGCCTGCCGGGTTGGCCGTGCCGGCCGTGCCAGGTGCGCGGGGCCCAGGCCGCCCGGGCGCCCTCTCCCCGCACCCCTCACCTTTGGCCGCGCTCTCGGGCTTGGGGAGTTGCCATATCGAAGACACCCTCAGACCCCAGCTCTATCTGCCGCCTTCTGCAAGTTCGCTGCAAAGTCCCCCATAGCAGGACTAGGAAGGAACCTTTTACAAAATTAAATACTCGAGTGTCGTTTTGTCTTCGGTTTTTCAATTCAACGCTGTGTTTTTCCCTGCTGGGTCTTTGTCAAGTACCTTTTCCCCAAAACTTGATACGGATGTGTAACACGGCGCCTGCTTAGCACGGTGCCTGGCACCCAGTAGGCGCTCAGTAAAGATTTGTTGAACGCATGAGTCACTAAGCTTGGAAAATTCTCCTGAACTGTGCGTCGCTATGATCTTTGTTAAGATTTTATGGGTTCCCAAGATCACTTTGAAAATTACAGTAATTTTAAAGCTCAACAAAGAGTTACATCGGGTCATTTTTGCATTCCCTGTAACAGTGGCCTCTGTTGAATGCCTAAATTAACTCAAAACCCGTGTTCTAGAAGATGCGCCCTTTGGTTTCTACAGAAAGTGTTAATCTTTCAGATCAAAGTCTTCACATGAACCATTCTATTATGGAACAAACTGAAATTACTTATAAAGCTTTATCGTAATTAGCGTTTTGGATACAAGTGTAAGGGACTGCACTGATGTACTTGTGAATACGAAATATAAGTCTCTTAAATATGACTTTTTTTTAAGAAAGGGTTTATATTCATATCTCGTGAAAGAGCATGCCGGAGAAAATTATAATAACAGCAAATCCCCCACCCCCACCCCTTTGCTGGGTGCAGCTGCTGCCTTGACCTCAAAATGTCTTGTAAAATTATCTCTTAATAGTCTGGTGTATCTAAGGCAAAAATCTCTGAGATTAAACCACCCCATAGGGACAACCCTTTTATTACTAACAATTCTTACCAGATTGTGTCTGTTTCTTCTGAGCTTTTCTGAAAAAGAGAAAAAAATAGACAACGTAATGGAGTTTCACATTATTAAGACAAAATCAGTAACAACTTGCTGACATTGAGTGAAAAAAGCAGGATACAAAATCATGATAACCAGAAAATTTGGTTAATCATGACATCCATAACCCTTCTGCTTGTGGGAAGGTCAGCTACAAGTGGCCAGGGTCTTGTCTGCCCTGATTACCAGCGGGTGTCCACAGTGCCTGACCCATGGTAACCACTCATTAAACACTTGTGTAATGATTACTTGGCTGTTAACAGATTAACAGTGTATTGACTATGATGTGTAGTTTCTTCATTTACTTGGATATCTCCTTAGAATAGATCACTCCGGGGAATTTTACTGGGTCAAAAAGTATGAATATTTTCATGGTTATTGAAACATTTGACAACCTGCTTTCCAAATAAACCTTATAGTTTTGTACTGCCATCAGTACATTTGAGTGTACCTTTCAAAGCATAGTTCAAGCTGATACAGTGTTTGCTAATTAGGGGCACTTTGAGATGTAACTCATTTGATTTCATTCACCCTGGAAGGTTGGCAGGGCAGGCATTGCTTTCCTCCTTTTGCAGCACAGCAAACTCCAGTGCTTTAAATTGACGGTAATGAATGGTAGGTGGCTAAATGATCACAGCCTTTCAGGTCCGTCTTCCTCCCAATCTCTACCTTTGGTTCATAGTGAACATCCTGAATAAATTCACCTCTTTCTTTAGCAATAAAATTGGATATTGCTTTATGGTTTTTATGGTTTACAAAATCTTCCCTTTCTCATCCTGCTCACATATTTGTAGATGGGTTCATCAAATTTGGGGAGTTGAAATAATGAAGCACAATTTAGATGAAAGAGATGATGTTGGTTAGATGTAAAGGGATGCTCTGAACCCACAAACTTACAAGATTGCCACCCTTTCTATTAGTAAAGGTCTGGAAACCGTGGATGGTGCTTTTGTATCTCCTTGAATTAATTTCCTAGTCTGTTATTCTGATTCTTTCCCATATTTGCTGGTCAGGGACCCCAAATGATTTAATACGTAATTAATCCAATAAGAAAGGGCTTTGGAAAGTCTCAAAGTTTAGTTGTAATATGTGGAACCATTGAAAATTCTTGGGGTTTATTGTAAGTGACACTGTTTATATCAAAAGTGGGCCAAAAATTGGTTTTCTACATTGCTTTCAAATTTGCTCAGCGTTCTTTAAAAAACAAACAAAAAACAGTATAGAAAAGATAGGGAAGGAGAAATGCAAACATATTGAGGCTTTGGAAATATTCAGGACTTCTTTTTGTTTTCACTCTGCTTCTTGGTTGTGATGTCAGATCACAAATAATGTTCAGTAAAAAATAAATGCTCTTTAAAGATACTTTTCAGGAATGTCTCCTTGTGTCAAGGAGTAGCTGCCTAAATATTGGGTATCAGGGAATAGCTGCCTAAATATTGGATGGGTTTAAGGCAACTGGTTCTTTAAGGAACTTTTATGTGAATCTAAATTATTTTGCTTTTGTTTTTTATAGTAGGATATATCTGCATCTTGAAAGGAAGATAAAACAAAAGCCTTCTTTGGAATAGATGGATTTTTGTCACTTTCTGTGTGAACTAAAGTGATTCAATGTCTCTTTTGGTAAGTTTTTGTAAATATAGATCTGATTTTGTTCTGTCAGAGTAGTTGGATGTTAATGCCAAGCCATAATAAAAGGCATATTCTGATGGGATATTCTTATGCTCTGAGATATTGTTTTGACCTGATTGACTTCTGGACTTGAGAAATGAATTACATTCTCATTGAGTTTTTCTTTCTTTCATAAAGAACTTCTCGTATACTTCAATATGTTCATTATTCTAATCTTTTGTCCCATATCTACTTTTTCTCATAGGTGTTATACTTTGATATGCCACCCACACCAGTTAGCTATGCCTTATCTTTTAAATCTTTCAGAAATTCCTTTTACAAATTTCCATCTGACCAAAAGCAAGCCAAACAGTATTAAAAATAACCCCTTTGACTTAACCGAAATAAAATCATTTGGATCAATGTATATATGAGGTATAGCTGCCAACTGGTTTTCTATTTATATTTAGATCCGTGGTATCTACTTTAGATTAAGTAGCTTGAGGACTTTCATCCTGTTTTATACATAATAATAATATTTGAATAGGGAATACTTATATTAAAATGTGGTTTTTAAAAAAGTAATGAGTAGACCACGTGTAGTGGCTCACACCTGTAATCCCAGCATTTTTAGGGGCCAAGGCTAGAGAATCAGTTGAACCCAGGAGTTCAACACCAGCCTAGGCAACATAGTGAGATCCTGTCTGTATAAAATATTAGCCAGACGTAGTGTCATATGCCTGTAGTCTCAGCTACTCAGAGGGTTAAGGTGGGAGGATCCCTTGAACAAGGGATCAAGGCTGCAGTGAACTGTGATCATGCCATTGCATTCCAGCCTGGGTGATAGAGGGAGATCCTGTCTCAAAAAAAAAAAAGGATGAGTATATTTGTATGATGATTTATAGTTTACAAATACTTTCATATATTTCTTTCATAGTTTCAAATTGTGTAAGTTTAGCAGGGCAGGTGGCATTATCCTCATTTTCAGTTTGTCCAAGATTGCAAAAAGTTGGAGCCAGACTCATACCTGCCAATCTATTCTATCAATTACCAAGGCTGAGAGGCAGAACTATGAAGTTAGAAGACTGGATTGTTAGTAATATGGAAAATACATAACACAGTTACTTACATGTTTAAAGTAAAGCATTACCACTTGAAAGAGAAGCTTTATATATCTGGAAAATACACGGAGGTGAAATGTTTTATTCTGTAAAGGAGGGATCAGCAAGCTTTTCTGTAAAGGCCAGATAGTATTTACAGACCCTTTGGTCTTTGTTACAGCTACTTTTCTGCTGAAATACTAGCATGAAAGCAGCCATAGGCAATATATAAATGAATGAATGAATGTATCTGTGTTCCAGTAAAACTTTACTCACAAAAACAGGTGGTGGGTCAGATTTGGCTCATGGACCATAGTTTGCCGACCCTTACTCTAAAGGATTACTTAAGATTTACAATTTTATATCAATTTTTAAGTTGGAAAAGATGTGAAAGGGCATTCAGTCTATTCCCTTCATTTGATAGGCGAGAATTGTGAGATTCAAAGGGCTGTGTGTTGCCCAGGGCTTTCAAATTTTGGAAAAAGAATATCTTAGCCTATTATTCCATAATTATGGGTTTTGTGAAAAATAATAGAATGTGATAATGGGTGATTTATATCGTTAATGATTGTAACTTTAAATCACATTTTTCTGCAATGGTGAAATATTTTAAATTCTTTGAATCGAAATATTTACTTTTTTTCCTTAAACGAGAAATTTGTGCAGTTGGGATAAAGTTGATACTTTTACTTAAGGATTCCTCCCCATTCAAGTTTTACCCTCTATTTGAGAACTAAGAAATGCTGTTTTCAAAGGAGCAGCATATGTAAAAATATCTTCTTTCAGTTTCTTTGTAAGGTCTAACTACTTTTTACTTGGCTATTATGATAATGGATAAAGAAATTATATTCAAAAATATTCAAAGGGAAAAGGTATGTGGGGTGAAGTTCAGAGGAAACCAGGCACAAGCTTTCAAGAATCTTTTCTCAGTGGAGTTCCATAGTATATGCACAGTTCCCCCAGAGTTGTGACATGTGAAATGTTGTCTACTAGGGAAGCTCATTAGAGACTTGGACTTAAGGTTTTTATTGGGGACTTGTCACGTAGGCGTGCTCTGCTAGCAAGTAACAAAATTCCAGTCTCCCAGAAAAAAAGCCAGGTGTTCAGCATAAACTGTATTATTTGCACAAACAGTTTAGACACAGTGAGCGATTCTTATGAAGGGAACCTCTGCAAAATCCCAGTTCCCAGATACTAGCCAAGGGTCAACCTTATAAGCAGCTATTTTCTAAGAATAGCAGTTTTAGGCCTGCTGTTAATTCTTCTTTTGCACAGTGGTATTAATGGTCGTTGTGAAAAATTCAAGCTAAATGTTGTAAAAATATATAAATACCAAACAATATATAAATGTCCTGCCCAGCTGGTGGATATTTTCAATATGAACAACAGTAATAAGTATCTTCAAAAACTGTTTTATTATAAATGTTATTCACCCTAGGAAGCCATTAGAAACTCTGCAGAGGAATCAGTTGTACAGCTATCTTGACATTGTTAGCGTCTATTCTTCAGGGTGAGTTTTACATAAAACAGTGGGAATATATACCAAATTTTTGTAATAGATTTATAAAGTATACAGACTGTAGGAATTCAAGTTAAAATAATCAGTAATGAAGGCTAACTGGGACAATGACTAGTTTGATTAGTGAGAAATTCTGGCATATCTTAAAAGGAAATTTATATTTAAGTAATTGACTACAAAGTGTTAAGTAGACATAGGTAGACATATCTTAAGAGACTCATTTGATATTGTACTTTAATGTTAATATAAAAATAAGATGCTTGAAATGAAAAATTCTGAAATGGCTGTGGTGGCTCACGCCTATAATCCCAGCACTTTGGAAGGCTGAGGTGGGCGGAACACTTGATTGAGGTCAGGAGTCTGAAACCAGCCTGGCCAACATGGTGAAATCCCATCTCTACTAAAAATACAAAAATTAGCGGGGCGTGGTGGCAGGTGCCTGTAATCCCAGCTACTCAGGAAGTTGAGGCAGGAGAATTGCTTGAACCCAGGAGGCAGAGGTTGCATCAAGCCAAGATTGCACCACTGCACTCTAGCCTGGGTGACAGACTGAGACTCCGTCTCAAAAAAAAAAAGAAAGAAATTTTTTCAAATATTGAAGTTATCTTGTTATAAAAGCCTCTCATACAATGTGTTTATACTTTTCTTTTGACATACTTTTTCTTCCTAAATAGTATGTCAGCTTCACCCCACTGATTGATGATGTGATAAATCACATGTAGGTGTTACATTTCTTTATTGGCAATAAATAATAATAGAACCATGGGTTAATATGCAGAAAAATGTAAATTGCGATAATAAAAGTAAGTCTCTTTTAATTTGCTTTGAGTTATAATTAGAGATGTTTATCACCTTTAAAAACAATTATTTTTTCACTCAATATGTGGCTTAATGTGAATAAACATGGTTTCTATACTTAAGATAGCTGAGGATCAAAATAAAAATAATTATAATGAATTCAGCAGAATAATCTTTGGCTAAATATTCAGAAGAAAACCTCAGTGATGTTGACAGACAGAGTTAAAAATTAACACCAACAGTTAAAATGAATTATTATGACATCAAGAAAAGAGGGCAAGGATCAGTGATAGCACCAAATAAAATTCTCACATATATGAAGTTTGTCTGCATGCCCAGCCACTTCTCCCTTCTCTCCCATGCTGAGTTCCTCATGATGTGGATCCTGGCTTCAATTCCAAGTTTCTGCAAGTTGCCCTTCCTCTCTTTTCCCCACTGTAGTCATTAGACCTTTTTGTATCTACATACCACCCCTGCTTATCCTGTAACTTATTTTTCACTTATATAATGCATTTCTGACTTCCAGGATTGCTTCTGCACTTCAAGAACACAAGTTGAATCACTCAGACCTGAAAAACAGTCTGAAACCAGTATCCATCAATACTTGGTAAGAAAATGGTTAGGCTGGATGCAGTGGTTCACACCTGTAATCCCAACACTCTGGGAGGCCAAGGCAGGAGAATCACTTGAGCCTAGGAGTTCGAGACCAGCCTGGGCAACATAGTGAGATCTCATCTTTAAAAAAAATGGTTGAGTACAATGAATGCTCTAACTTTGCCTTCTGTAATACTATTCACTCCTACTTCTCTTCTATTTCTTTTTCTTTACAGTGTCCTTTACTATTTCTTCCTCCTGCCATTTTCCAGGAGTCTATAACTGGCCATTTCTCTTCTTCCTAAAGTGGCTCTTCCTAAAGTGGCTCTTCCTAAGCAGTTTCACCTGTTCCTATGACTTCAGTTGCTCAGATTTCAGATTGTCCTGGAGTTACCACAGGTTTCCTGAGGGGACCCTGGCATCAAGCAGAACTGATGCTTCTCAGATTTTTACCTGCAACCCCAGACTCTTTCCTGGGCAACAGACGTGTCTCTAGAATACCTCCAATTGGATTTTTCTAAGGCATCTCTACTCAGTTTGAATAAAACCTTAATCTTCTTTCAAACCCACCAACTCATGGTATTTCCTACTTTGTCTAATGAAAACTCATCTACTATGTCATCCTAACTAAAAACTTTAGAGTTATCCTCACACGGCCTCTACCTCTGTCCCCATATTTATTATCTGTCTCTGAAATGCCCTGGGGTCTATCCCCTACTTCACATGAGCACTGCTACTGCTCAGGTCTCATTGTCTCTCACCTGGGCTCTTGCAGGTGGACTCCTTGCCTCTAGGCTCCTAGACACACACATAGTCTTCTCCCACCACTCACATCTGTTCAGTGTTCAGTAATGCTACCAATACAGGCCTGCTTGTATCGCTTTCCAGCTTTGAAACTTCCATTGGCTTCCTAAAGCCTATGGGATAAAGTCTAAATTAGCATAATATGAGGGCTCTTACTGGTGTAGAATATGTCTTAGTTTCATTCTCTACTTGAGATACTCTTCTTTCTTTTCTGCCTCTGAAATTCTTCCTCATCCATAAAGAATTGGTTCAAATATTGTATCTGTGAAGCCTTTCCACTTACACTTTTTATTTGGTTCTGCTCCCGTGTATCTTAGATATATCTAAGGATATTTCTTTGGGATCTTTTCCTCTCCTTATTCCGTACTTTATACTGCATTTTTTACTACAGAATGGAACCTACCTTGCAAATGCCTTATTCACTACAAAATTAGTGAATCCCAGTTAATTTTGCTTATAATTTAACCCCCAGTCCTATCTTCAGCTGTCTTTATTTCTGTTATTTGGCTTTTTATTCATTAATACCCTAGTCTTCTGGTTACCTGTCTCTTCATAAAATAGGAAGTAGTATCTGAGGGGTTTTTTAAAAAAAAATTTGGAGTACATAGAAGATGTATATATTTATGGGGTACCTGAGATATTTTGATACAGACATATGATATGTAATAATTACTAAATGGGTAAATGGTTTATCTATCACTTTAAGCATAAATCATTTCTTTGTGTTATAAACATTCCAATTATACTTTCAGTTATTTTAAAATGTATAATAAGTTATTGTTGACTGTAGTCACTCTGTCATGTTATCAAATACTAGATCTTACTCATTCTATCTAACTATATTTTTGTACTCATTAACCATCTCCACTCTGCCCTGCACCCCTTCTTGGCCTCTATTCTCTATCTCCATGAGTTCAATTGTTTTAATTTTTAGCTCCCACAGGTGAGTGACATGTGAAGTTTGTCTTTCTGGGCCTGCCATATTTCACTTAACATAGTGTCCTTCACTTCCATCCATGTTGTTGCAAATGGTAGTATCTCATTCTTTTTTGTGGCTAAATAGTATTCCATTGTACATATGTACCACATTTTCTTTATCCATTCATCTGTTGATAGACACTTAAGTTTCTTCCAAGTCTTGGCTATTGTCAGTAGTGCTGCAATAAACATGGATGTGTATATATCTCTTCAATATACTGATTTCTTTTCTTTTGGATATATACCTATCAGTGGGATCGCTGGATCATATGGTAGTTTTTTTTTTTTTTTTTAGTTTTTTGAGGAACCTCCATACTGTTCTCTATAGTGGTTGTACTAATTTGCATCATCACCAACAGCATATGAGGATTCTCTTTTCTCCATATCCTCACCAGCATTTGTTATTGCCTGTCTTTTGGATAAAAGCCATTTTAACTAGGGTGAGATGATATTCCCTTGTAGTTTTGATTTGCATTTCTCTGATGATCAGTGATGTTGGGCACTTTTTCATGTACCTGTTTGCCATTTGTATGTCATCTTTTAAAAAAAATTATTTTTATTTCTATTTTTTTTAGAGATGGCATCTTGCTTTGCCACCCAGCTGCACTGCAGTGGTGTAATCATAGCTCACAGCAGCCTTTAACTCCTGGGTTCAAGCAATCCTTTCACCTCAGGTTATTGATAAGCTATGACTACAGGTGTGTATTACCACACCCAGCTAATTAAAAGAGGTCTCACTATGTTGACCAGGCCGATCTTGAACTCCTAGCCTCAAGTGATCCTCCCACCTCAGCCTCCCAGAGTATTGGGCTTACAGTCTGAGCCAATGTGCCCAGAACTGTATGTCTTCTTTTGAGAAATGTTTATTTCTAGATCTTTTGCCCATTTTTAAATCAGATTGTTAGATTTTTTAAATTGGATTGTTTGAGCTCCTTATATATTCTGGTTATTAATCCCTTATCAGATGGGTAATTTGCAAATATTTTCTCCCATTCTGTGGGTTGTCTCTTCACTTTGTTTTTTCTTTTGCTGTGCAGAAGCTTTTTAACTTGCTGTGATCTCATTTGTCCATTTTTGCTTGATTGCCTCTACTTTTGGGGTATAACTCAATTAATCTTTGCCCAGACCAATTTCCTGGACAGCTTCCTCCATCTTTTCTTGTAGTGATTTCATAGTTTGAGGTCTTAGATTTAAGTCTTTAATCCATTTCAATTTTATTTTTTAATATAGCAAGAGATAGGGGTCTACTTTCATTCTTCTGCATACGAATATCCAGTTTTCCCAGCACCACTTATTGAAGAGACTATCCTTTCCCCAGTGTATGTTCTTGGCTTCTTTGTCAAAAATGAGTTCACTGTAGTATGGATTTATTTCTGAGTTCTCTGTTCTGTTCCATTGGTCTGTGTGTCTGTTTGTATACAAGTACCATGCTGTTTTGGTTATAATAGCTCTGTAGTATAATTTGAAGTGAGGTAATGTGATTCCTCCAGTTTTGTTCTTTTTGCTTAGGATTATATAATGACCTTCCATGTCTCTTTTTATAAGTTTTTCCTTGAAATTTATTTTGCCTGATATATGTGTATATCGATTCCTGTTCTTTTTCGGTTTCCATTTATATGGAATATTTTTCTTCCACTATTTATTTTCAGTCTATGAGTGTCTTTATAGGTGAAGTGTGGTTCTTGTAGGCAACAGATAATTGAATCTTTTTTTAATCGATTCAGCTACTCTATGTCTATTCATTGGAGAGTTTAATCCATTGACATTCAGTGTTATGATTGATAAGGACTTAACTGCTGGCTTTTGTTATTTGTTTTGTATTCTCTTCCTTCCTTCCTGTCTTCTTCTTTTTTGTGAAGTTTATTTTCTCTGGCAGTATGTTTTAGTTTCTTGTTTTTTATTTTGTTGTGTGTGTATGTGTTGTAGATTTTATGATTTGAGGTTACCATGAGGCTTGCAAATAACATAACATGTTATTTTAAAGTGACAACTTGACACTGATTGCAAAAACAAACAGGCGAAGAGAACTAATAAAAACTGTACACTTTAACTTCATTCCTCCTGTTTTTTAAGTTTTTATGGTTTCTATTTATATCTTCTTGTACTATTTTGAAAAGGTATTGCAGTTATCATTTGTTCATCTTTTAATCTTTCTACTAAAGATATGAGTAGTTTACACACCACAATTACAATGTTATAATAGTCTGTTTTTATCTGTGTATTTATTACCAGTGAGTTTTGTACCTTCAGATAATTTCTTACTGCTCGTTAACAACCTTTTCTTTGAGATTGAAAAACTCCCTTTAGCATTTCTTGTAGGAGAGGTCTGGCATTGATGAAATCCCTCAGCTTTTGTTTGTCTGGGAAAGTTCTTCTTCCATGTTTGAAGGATATTTTCACTGGATAAACTATGAAAGTTTTTCACTGGGTTTGGTGGCTCACACCTGTAATCCCAGCACTTTGGGAGGCCAGGGTGGGTGGATCACAAGGTCAGGAGATTGAGACCATCCTGGCTAACATGGTGAAACCCCATCTCTACTAAAAATACAAAAAATTAGCTGGGCGTGGTGGCACACGCCTGTAATCCCGCCTACTTGGGAGGCTGAGGCAGAATTGCTTGAACTTGGGAGGTGGAGGTTGCAGTGAGCCAAGATTGCACCATTGCACTCCAGCCTGGGTGACAGAGTGAGACTGTCTCAAAAAAAAAAAAAAAAAGGTTTTCCTTCAGCACTTTAAATATGTTGTGCTACTCTCTCCTGGCCTGTAAGGTTTCCACTGATAAGTCTGCTGCAAGATGTATTGGAGCCCCTTTATATGTTCTTTCTTTTTTCTTACTTCTTTTAGTATCCTTTCTTTATCCTTGACCTTTGGAAGTTTGATTGTTAAATGTCTTTTTTGGGTTAAATCTGCTGGGTGTTCCATAACCTTCTTGGATACTGGATATTGATATCTTGGATACTTGGATAACTTCTTGGATACTTGGATATTGATATCTTTCTCTAGGCTTGGAAAGTTCTGTGTTATTATCCCTTTGAATAAACTTTCTATTCTGATTTCTTTCTCTACCTCCTCTTCAATGCCGATAAATCTTAGATATGCCCTTTTGAGGCTGTTTTCTAGATCTTATAGGTGTGCTTCATTCTTTCATATTCTTTTTTCTTTTGTCTTCTCTGTATTTTCAAATAGCCTGTCTTCAGTCTCACTAATTCTTTCTTCTGCTTGATCAGTTTTGCTATTGAGACTCTAATGCATTCTTCAGTATGTCAGTTGAATTAGAATTTGCTTGATTTTTAAAAAATTATTTCCATCTCTTTGTTAAATTTATCTGATGGGATTCTGAATTCCTTCTCTGTGTTATCTTGAAATTTGTTGAACTTCCTCAAAACAGCTATTTCAACTTCTCTGTCTGGAAGGTCACGTATCTCTGTCACTTCGGGATTGGTCACTGGTACCTTACTTTGCTCATTTGGTGAAATCATGTTTTCCTAGATGTTCTTGATGCTTGTGGATGTTCATTAATGTCTGGGCATTGAAGAGTTACGTATTTATCATAGTCTTTGAAGGCTGAACTTATTTGTACCCATCCTTCTTGGGAAGGCTTTCCAAGTATTCACAGGGAATTGAGTATTGTGATCTAAGTCTTTGGTCACTGTAACTCTATCTGCATTAGGGACCACTTCAAGCCCAGCAAAACTGTGACTCTTGCAGACTCACAGAGGTACCATCTTGGTGGTCTTGGGTAAGGTCTGAGAGAATTACCTGGATTACTAGGCAGGGAATCTCGTTTTCTTCCCTTACTTTTCCCCCAAACAGTTTCTCTTTCCATGCTGAGCTGCCTGGAGCTGGGCGAGGGGTGACACAATTACCCCTGTTGCCACCACCACTAGGACTGCACTGGGTCAGACCTGAAGCTCAGCACAGCACTGGGTCTTGCCCCAGGCCTGCAGCCACCACTGCCCAGCTGGATGTTCACTCAAGGATACCAAGGGCTCTTCAGTCACCAGGTGTTGAATCCAGCCAGGCTGTGTCCTTCTCTTCAGGGCAGTGAGCTCCCCACCTGGCCCTGGGTGGGTCCAGAAATGCCTTCTGGGAGCCAGGGCCATGGGTCAGGAACCTTAGGAATCTACTTTGTGCTCTATTCTACTGCAGCTGAGCTGGCACCCAAACCACAGGACAAAGTCCTTCCCATTCTTCCCTCTCCTTTCCTCAGGCAGAAGGAGTCTCTCCTCATGGCCACCATTGTCCCAGGCCCATTGCAGAGTCCTGCCTGGCTATTGCCAGTGTTCACTTGAGGCCCGAGGGCTCTTCTGTCAGCTTGTGGTGAATATTGCCAGGCCTGGGTTTCTCCCTTCAGGGCAGTGGGCTACCCTTTAGCCCAGGGCCAGTCCAGAAGTGCTATCCAGGAGCCAAGGCCTGGAATCAGGGACCCCAGGAGTCTGCTTGGTGCTCTAGCCTACTGTGGCTGAGCTGGTACCCAAGCTGCAAGACCAAGCCCCCTTTACTGTCCCCTCTCCTCTACTCAACCAGAAGGAGCCTCTACCTGTGGCCACCACAGTTGGGAATGTGCTGGTTCACACCTGAAGCCAGCATGGCCCTGAGTTTCACCCAAGGCCCACAGCAGGTACTGCCTGGATACTGTTGATGTTTATTCAAGGCGCAAGGTCTTGGTCAGCAGGTGATGGATCCTGCCAGAACTAGGTCCTTCCCTTCATGGGAGCAGTTTCCCTTCTGGCCCAGGGTGTGTCTAGAAATGTTGTCCAGGAGCTAGGGCTTGGAATGGGGGCCTCAGGACTCTGCCTGGTACCCTATTCTACTGTGGCTGAGCTGGTATCCAAGTTGCAAGACAAAGTCCTCTTTATTCTTTCCTTTCCTCTCCCCTCCTCAAGGGAAAGGAAGGAATCTCCTGGAGCTACAAGCTGCACTGCCTGGGGTTGGAATAGGAGTGACAGAAGCACTCCCTTGGCTGCCCTGACTAGTGTCTCACTAGGTCATGGGCCCCCCAAGTCCACTGGCTCCAAGCCCAGCACAGCACCAGGAATTGCCCTGGAATTGCAGTCCTCATGGCCTAGACTACCTTTCAAGTTTATTTAGGACCCCAGAGGGCCTCAGCCTGTGGTGGCAGACAAGGCTTGCTGGAATTCAGGTTCCAGCTGCTGGGATGGGTGATTCCCCTCTGGCTAAGGCTGATCTAAATGCTCCCTCCTTGGGCACTGGCTGCATTCTTTACTGTGTTGCTCTCTGCTGTGACAGGCAACACTGAGTTCCAGTGCAAAGTCCCACAATCACTGCACTCTCCCTCCCCGGGGGATGCGGGAGGGGAGGCATCAGCTATTCAAGACTGTCTTTCCTACCCTGCTCAGTGCCTCTTTCAGTGATAGGAAGTTAAAAACAGGTACTGTGATAGCTCACCTTATTTTTTATTCTTACAAAGGTGCCTTCTTGTTTGGATAGTTGTTCAATTTGGTGTTCCTGAAGGGTGAGGGAAGATTGCTGGAGGGTTCCATTCAGCCATCTTTATCCACCTCCCTCCCAGTCTGAGTTTTAATTTAAGTAATTCCCTTTGGGTGAGGCAGAAAGGAAAGTGATTCTTGTCTCCATGCTGTTACTGAGAGAGAGGCCTAGAACTAAGCAAACGTTCACAGCTGCCACCTGAATCCTTCAAACCTTCAGGTTGGAGCCTTTTTATAATTTAAGGATTGAAATGTCACATCTCTCTCTGTTAGTAGACTTAGACTAAAATCTTCAGTGAGAGAAGCAGAAGCATAATCTGAAGTCTCTCATGGAAAAATGAATTGGAAAAGTTGTATAATGTAAGTTGACACCAGCTGGAAACTGGTGCCTGATGACTAGAAAAACTTCCTTGTGCGCTCTCTGAGTCATGCTGTAAAACACCATCTGTTGTCTTTTCTTTGGACAACTTGTTCTCCATTGGCCTGGACTTTATAGATAGAATTAAATTTTATGTTAAAATATCATGTTTGGAGGACAGTCTGGTTTTCCAAGTGATTTATGTCTCCTATAACTTCGGAAACCCCTCTATCTGTAGGAAAATTCATTTTCTATAGTTAACCTTTGCAAATGAAAGGCTGTGATGTTTGAGCTGAGATGCTTTTTAAAATAATGCAATTTTAGCATTACAGTGATTCATGAGAGGCCATCTGGTCTAATTTTCAACTAATGTAGGGAGTGTTCTCTACAATATCTCTGAGAGTTCATTGTAGAAATTTAAATAAAAAGAGCTCCATCATAGAAAAATAGTCATCATAGAAAAATAGAAACATACAGAAAGGTATGTTTCACCACAAGTAAAAGTCTGGCAGGATCTCTCTGAAAACACTTCAGAGTGCTATTCATTGGCTTGATTATTGAACTATGATGTAGGGTCTGTTCCTCAGCCTCTTAGGATCATAAACTGGATTTAGTCAGCAAACCTAGAGTGGAGCCATATTTCAGTATCAGATCCACATTAATCAAGCTCATTACAAACCCAGTCTCCCAGTGCCAGAGGAAATGGTGCCCTTACATTGTATTATCAATCCACTCTTATAGAAAAGTTACATGGGAAACCAAATCATAATTAGAAGCAGTTTAATGTATAATGGAGAAGTAATGACAGCTGTCAAAGTACTTGAAATTCATATCACAGTACTTCCTTTCGCTGCAAGCAGACATTTGTGGGCATCAAAACTTTTCTTTTCCTAGCCTTCCAATTGCTGACCATTCCCTCTTCACTTCCAGTTCTTGTACCTCCCTGTAGCTCAACTACTGTCAATGGTGGTCGTCCAACCTCCAAATATATCAATGGAGAGAGGATAATGGAAAGAGGCAGCTTGATGCCTGAGCCACACTTGGATGGCACCGGTTACTCCATATTTCTTAGGCGGAACTGAAATCTACTTCCTGGAGCTTCTATCTGTTGATCTCAGCTCTTCTCGCTGAACAATTGTTTACCCTTCTATATTAGTCTTTTGGCCACTTGCAAATGGCAACTATATATATTCTTAATATTTTCTTTTCCAGATTAAATATTTCCAACTCCTTCATTGTTGCTGGAACCTTCACCAATTTGGTTGGCCTTCTCTAGGCATCACCATTTTACAATCACCATTTTACAATTCCCTCTTAAATTGTGGTGTCTCAATTATCCATGGTGCTCCAGATACTAATCATTTCAGAATACAGTGAAACTCTTGTCTCTTCCAGTCTGCTCAATTTTGCTTCTGTAAATGTAGCTCAATATTGTGCTTTTATTTAACCTTCTCTGTCATGGTATTGACTGAAACCTCTGAGTCATAAACCTGGTATCCTCAATTTTGTATTTAGGCTATTGGTTTTTTGTTTTTTTTTTTAACTTAAGTGTAAGGTTTTGCATTTATCCTTGTAAAATTTTACTGATCTGGGCCCAGTTTTCTAGCTGTTCAGGATGATTGTGAGTCCTGCCTTTTTTTTTTCTTTTTTTTTTTTTTTTTTTTTTTGGTAATTAGCTATGCCCAACAATGCATGATCCATACTTTTTCTTTTTTCAAGCCAGCCTTTTTCAGTTTCAGGAAGTCATTAAAAAGTTTAACAGAGCAAAGGCAAGGACTTTGCCATAATTTTTGCTTTCTATCATCTAACTGGTCAAATGAAAAAGAGAAGTGAGGTTAGTTTGGGATGATTTACTCTTAGTAAATCTGAGTTGTCTTCTTGTGATTACCATGTGGCTTTTTAAAGTGCCCATAATTCACCTATTGAATAATTTGATCTCTGACTTTGCTGGGCAACAGCATCAAGCTTGCCCCTTTGTAGTTTTCTCCCTTTTTGAAAATTGGGTCATTGTTTGCTACTTTTATTCTGGTTTTTCATCTGAGTTCTATCATAGTTGCAAACTTCGTATCCTAAGTGTAATTGCCCTGGGCCTGGAGGTTTGAACCTACTTAAAACAACCTGTTTAGAGCTTTGAATACTTATTTACAACATGTGTCCCTTCTAGTTTAAATAAGACTAATTCCCCAATGGAATAGATGGAAGCAAAATAGAGGCTGATTAGTTGTGATTTTAGTCCATCACCCAGTAACATTATGCCGTTTTTTTCCAAGCCTGTGAATTATAAGCCTTAGCTCATTACATCTCTAGCCTTCCCGACAGGCTTACAGGTTGATATCACTTAAAAAATTTTTAAAGCTGTTATATGTTCTTTCTGTCTCTTTTATGTGGTCATTAAATCTGAGTTTATCTGAAGACTACCTGTTTTAAAGAAACTGAATTGCTTCCATCAGATTGTAAAGAGGCAGAAAAAAAGAGAAACTAAATTGCTTTATTTTGATTTGTTTTCTCATCAGGATTATTTCCAATCGTATAGTAGAATTTCTTTTTACATTCTTTCATTCCTCTTGAACAATAGTCAGCCTTATTTATCTTTAGCCATGGGTTTATAATTCCTTTTTTCCTGCTCTCTTAAAGTTTAGGGAACATTTAATCCTGTCACTGTTTCAAACTCCATCTCTGTCTCTTGATTAAAAAGAGCCAAGAATGTGAAAAGGAGTTAACACAATTCCTAGCACATAGTAATGTTATTTTTCCCCTTTCTTCCTTCCCCTGCCATCTGTCTGTAGAGGCTCCTAAGTGTCCTTTGGAGTAGTTATGTCCATTGGGAGACCCTCATGGTTATCATATGAAGCCAGTAGTTTAGGCTTCTTTTTCATACATCCATGTTATTTCACTGTCACTGTATTCAGGTGCAAACCTGACTCTCACTCCAAAGCACACCATGAGACCTCCTATCAGTACTTGGTCATTCACTTAGGAGGTCTGTCTTCTTTGATTTTTCTTTCTGACCTCCCATCTGATTCATCTTGCAAAAAACTTCATCAGCAATTTTAATAGGCTGCAGTCTGGAAACTGTTCCTTGACTGTTAACATCTTCAGTAGCAGAGCATGTACCTTGTGAAATATGGCTCTAGCTTAAAGCAAGAGCACAAGCATAGAATATCCCTCACAGGTCCCTGCAGCTCTTCGCTTGGTACATTTGTCAGCTATCCTGAAGAATTAACATTCTTCGCAACTCCTAAACATTTTACTGGAAATTACACTGGGAAGTATTCCTTGCTATCTGTAAATCTGCTTTTCCTGCCCTCTCCATAGGCTAACAGCTTTCTACCTAACATCAATGAGCAATTGGTAAATTCATTTTAGATCTTAAAACAGTGTCTTAAGCCACCTTGCAGTACCTTCCTAATGAGCACCTCTGTGTTTGAAAATATAACACCAGTGTTTTATATTAGGGCAGGGGGACCAAGAAGTTCATCTATTTTGTTTTTATCTTTAAAAACAAATGCAGGTTGATGAGCCAACCCTTTCCTGGTCACGTCCATCCACTAGAGCCAGTGAAGTACTATGTTCCACCAACGTTTCTCACTATGAGCTCCAAGTAGAAATAGGTAATAATCCTGAATTTCTAATTGACCCTTCAGTGCTAGAAATTAAATTGATGACAAAAAGATTATTTTGTGGGCAAGTGTTTTTCTGTTGTTACCTCCAGCATAAAACTAGATGCTAATTGTGTCAGTCAAGTGGATTCAATTAATTTATGTCTATCTTAAAATAATGACTCAGATTTTTTCAAGATTACTGTCTAGAACGTTTACTTTTCCATTGAAGTACATTTAGATGAGGAAGACACTAAATACTTATTATTTGTGTGTTTATTGTGGGAAGCATCTATTTTATGGGTATAATTTCTACTGGGTATGAAGTAAAATCAAGTCATCTAAATCTTTTCAGTCACAATCCTTTAAATTGCTTCTCAGTTTAAAAATTTATCTAAAATATCATTTGTAGTAGAAAGCTTTTTCAGTTAAGTGTGGAATAGGATGGGTTATTGTTTATAGCTTTACATATGTGAAACATTTGCTCTGAATATTTAGAAACATCTATTAAACACTACACACCGGTGATTGTGTTAGGTGCTAGGGAAACAAAGCATGGTAGAACACTTGGAATTGACATCATCTCTGGGAAGATGAAGACACAATATAGCTTCGTTTTATGCACTGGAGGGTACTTTAGTAGAGGTATGTCCTAAGTGTTATGGGAACAGAGAAGATGGAGCATACAACGAACCACCTCTGGGAGTTAAGAGAGATGGCAAAAAGGGGCTGGATCTTGAATGAGGAAGAGTTTGCTAGATATTCTAGTCATAGGTTTTGTTATAGACAACATAAACAATCCTGGCTAACTTAAGTGAAAAAGGAATATTTGAACAGTGCTGCTAACTCACAGAATTATTGGCTAGAGAACTAGGCTTGGAAGAAGCCAAGAGAAGCTGCATGACAAGGACCAGGACTGTGGAATAGGAGCAGCCTAGTGAATGTACTGCCCGCCACCAGACGCTGGCCCCCTGCTGATAGCTCTGACGACTGCTGCTGCTTTGTCCTTCACTCCGTACTCCAGTTGGCCAAGCATAGGTCGCATGCCAGGGTCAAGGAGACTAAGGGAGAGTAAGGATCTGACCTTTTTGAAATAACACAAAGTGGCAAATGCCCCAAAATTAGAAAGGAGTTTCAAATGGTGCCAATTCTAAAAAGGTAAAAACATGTTTACCTCAGTAAATGACTGAGGAAGGATGGTTAGGGGAGAATACCATATAGTTCCTCTGTGACTGCAAGTGGGAACAAGGGGAGAGTAGGCAGTGGTAGGAGATGAATCTGGAAAGGCAGGTTTGGAACACGTTGTGAAGGACTTCATGTGGTTGGATTTAGAATGGCCTCCACAACCTACCCTCCTTATTACTCAGAGGATTTAAGGTGGAGATTTGGAATTGTCCTTCCGCTAGAGAGACATTGTGGAATCATGATGACAATAATAGCATCTAACAGGCATTATGCTGAACATTATGTATTTTTTTCTTTAACCCTTTGCCACTCCCATTTCGCAGATGAGGATACCGAGGCTCTGAGTCATACAGTTAGTGATTTGAAACCAGATCTTTCTGACTGTAGGATCTAAGCTCTCAGCTGCTGCAGGACCTGCTATTGATAAAATGCCAAATTTAAAACAACTCAGGCAACAGTCAGGAAGATGTAGTAGATCAGCAATGCACAACCAGAAGTGTCATCTTCATTACCTGTGTCTTTTTTAAAATTACAGCACCTATATTCCATCACAGAGCTACTGAACCAGGGTTTCTTGGGAGTAGGGCCAAGGCAGAGGCATTTTGCAGTAGTTCCCTCAGTAATTCTGGTGTGTGCCCTGGCTGAGAATTCAGGGCATATGAGGGAGTCACTGCATACATCCAGGGCAACAGGACAGGGCTCAAACTAAGTCAGTGATGCTGACACTGAGGGGAGGAGACGAATTTGAGATTAACTTCATTTCAAAAATAAAACTGACAAAATTTGGTGACCATGGAGAGAGGGAGGTAACTAATATTTATTAGGTGGCTGCCAGCAGATGCCACTCTAGGTGTTTTACATTTAAAAAGCTGATGATATCAAATGCTGGTGAGTATGTCAGGCAGTGACAGCTCTTATACATTGTTTGTGGGAATATGAAATGATTCAGCCACTTTTGAAAACAATTTGGCAACTTCTTATAACGTTAAGCATATGTTTATCACATGACCCAGCAATCTCACTCGCAGATATTTGCCAAAGATAAATGAAAACACATGTCTACTTAAAAACCTGTATAGGAATGTTTTTGGCAGCTTTATAGTCACCAAAAACTGAAAACAAGCTAATAGCCACCATCAGCATTATAAATGGATAAATAAATTGTGGTATAGCCATACAATTGTTTATTGCTCAGCAATAGAAATTAATTGCTGATACATACAGCAACGTGGATGAGTCTCAGAAGCATATGCCAAGTGAAAGAAGCTAAACACAAAAGAAGTTGACAACTGTGTTCTTTTTGATACCATTTATGTGACAAAAATCAGATTGGTGGTTGCCAGGGACTGGGAGTGGGGATGGGATTGCCGAGTAGCATTCCATTGTGTGAGTATATCGCAATTGGTTTATCAAGTCACAATTTTAGTCATCATAATAGATATGTAATGGTGTGTCACTGTTTTAATTTGCATTTCTCTATCTTGAGCATCTTTTCATAGGCATATTGGCTGTTCCTATATCTTATTTTGTGGATTGCCTGTTTAATCCTCTGCCTGTTTTTTAATTGGATTGCTTGATAAGTATTATTAATACTTTGAATCAGTAGTGTGCCTTTTCATTTTCTTAACAGTACTTTTTGAAGAGTAAGACTTTTCAATTTTGATGATGTCTAAATTGTCAGTTTTTTTTCTTCTTTGGTTACTAACATGAGTTTTATGTCTGATTACAGGAAGAGGATTTGACAACTTGACTTCTGTCCATCTTGCACGGCATACTCCCACAGGAACACTGGTAACTATAAAAATTACAAATCTGGAAAACTGCAATGAAGAACGCCTGAAAGCTTTACAGGTAACAATATGAAGAAAATGATACACAGTTGGGCCTCTGTATCCACTGGTTCCACATCTGCAGATTCAACCAATTGTGAATAGAAAATATATATTTTAAAATAAATAATACAATAAAAAATAGTACAAATAAAACACAGCATAACTATTTACATAGCATTTACATTGTATTAGGCATTATAAGTAACCTAGAAATGATTTAAAGTATATGGGAGGATGTGCATAGCTTATATGCGAATATTATGCCATTTTATACAAGGGACTTGAGCATTTTTAGATTTTAGTACATTTATGGGGTGGTGTGTAGGAGGCGGTCAGGGGATGCAGTCCTGGAACCAATGCTCCATGGATACTAAGGGGTGATTGTATTTAATATAATGTTTATTTGAGGAGATTACATCTGTAAGAATTTTCTCCCCCAAACTAATAGTTCTTCTGTTAGGGAAATACAGATTTCTTCTAATTAACATGCAGTTACAGAATTGGAAAGAATACTTGGAAGCCAGGTTCATTATATGAAAGAACAAATATATTCAAACTTTGGTAACTGCTGCTCCTTCAAATGAATATCATATTCAAAATGCTAGTCTGGAGTTTTACAATACTCCTAGTCAGTCCCATCCTAAATAGTCACATAGGGAAATGGAAGAAATCAAAAACAGTTTCCTTTTCATCCAGTTAAGCAAAATTAATTTCTGAATAACAAATTTTGACAGAATTGCATTTCAGGTATCTTATAATACCATTTTTATCGTCACTAATCATTTTTTATATAAAGGGGGAAAGGATTTTATTTGGATATTGTTCCAATTCTTTTTTTTTTTTTTTTTTTCGAGACGGAGTCTTGCTCAGTCGCCCAGGCTGGAGTGCAGTGGCGCGATCTTGGCTCACTGCAAGCTCCGCCTCCCGGGTTCACGCCATTCTCCTGCCCCAGCCTCCCGAGTAGCTGGGACTACAGGCGCCCACCACCACGTCCAGCTAACTTTTTGTATTTTTAGTAGAGACGGGGTTTCACCGTGTTAGCCAGGATGGTCTCGATCTCCTGATGTCGTGATCTGCCTGCCTCGGCCTCCCAAAGTGCTGGGATTACAGGCGTGAGCCACCGTGCCCGGCCCCAATTCTTAAAATATTTATATGTGCACATGTATATTACACAAACAAAAAAAGACTAGGAGAAACTATACCAAAATGTTAACAGTGGCTCTCTGTGAGGTAGCAATAGAGGGATTTTTATGTATTTTTAAATGTTTTTATGATAAGAACATAGAACAGTTGTTAAGAGTATGACCCTAGAGGGAAACTAAGTTCACATTCTACTTCCACTTCTTTTTATTAATTGCATGCTTTTGGACAGGTTTTCTAACTTATTTTTAAGTGTTGTCTTCTGAAAAATGGGAATCATAATATCACATACTTTGTGGAGTGGTTGTGAGATTTAAATAGATAAAAGCACTAAGAACAGTGCTTTCACTAATAAGCACCCTTGAGTATTAGCTGCCACGACCGCCATTTTCATCATAAGGAAAAAACAGTTGTTTTTAAATGTCTTGTCTCTTGTGTGTTTATCCTAGAAAGCCGTGATTCTATCCCACTTTTTCCGGCATCCCAATATTACAACTTATTGGACAGTTTTCACTGTTGGCAGCTGGCTTTGGGTTATTTCTCCATTTATGGCCTATGGTAAGAATGCTGGTTTTAAATAAATTAACTTAGCCTAGATGTTATAATTATATAGATGAGTTGGGATTTTAGATTTATGATTTGCCACATTTAATTTATAAGTCTAATGACTGATTTTAGATTTCATGGTATATTTCTATATCTGGTACATGTTGAATTTTAGTCTGCAGAAAAAAGTAAGAATTGGTATGATGATCAGTGAACCACCACTGCTTTTCCAAGAATTCCGTGCCTTTGCACAAGCTGTGTCTTCCCTTCAGCTTCCTTCCCCTCTTTTAATGGAGACCTACTGTTATTCTGCAGGAAGAAGTTGTTTTTCCACCTCTGCCCCCCATCCCTGTCCGTTTCACTGCATTGTAAACTATTTCACTGTATTAGAAACATCTTTGTGTGTGTCCATGTCCCTCACTGGACTTGTGCTTCTTGAGGGCCGGGATCATTTATATATTTTTTATTTGTGGTGTCCCCAGGTGCTCACGTAGTACTTAGCACAAAGTAGTGTTCAATAATTGTGTTGAATAAATAGTGAATGGATTCTAGAGCTTTGATTTTTAGGACAGCTTTTGTGAATTGCTTCTGGATTTAAGAAAAAAAAAAATATATATATATACACACAGAATGTATTTTTATTCAATAATATTGACAAATCATTAATTCTCTTCCCTAATCTCTAAAGTGTCATTACAAAAAATTGTTTAAAGATTCTTGAAAGAAAATCATGTTTGTGTGGGAAAGTGTTGTTTGGGTTAGACTCCAAAAAGTAACAGGTATGTTTGTGTTTATGGTTGAAAAGAACATTAAAATACAGCTGGAAGCAAAATCACTTTCAATGTTCATCTAAGGATTTTAGGGGTTTCTTTCAGGTTCAGCAAGTCAACTCTTGAGGACCTATTTTCCTGAAGGAATGAGTGAAACTTTAATAAGAAACATTCTCTTTGGAGCCGTGAGAGGGTTGAACTATCTGCACCAAAATGGCTGTATTCACAGGTATTTACTTATTTGTATTTATTAAATGAAATAATTTTAATGGAAGAACTCTTTGAAGGAGGTTTTAGGAAGGAGCAGTTGAATATTAGAAAAAAGGGATAGGAAACTTGTAAGTGAAAATTGAGGGAGGAAGGGACCATTAGGTGCAGTGGATTGCTTACATTTTATGTCCATTCGCCAAACATGTTCAGACCACATCCTCTGTGCCAAGCAGTTATTGGGATTGGGGTGGAGTGCCTGCCCTCATGGAGCTCACAGTCTCAATCTAATGAGGATGTTCAGGAGATGAGCTGTAGGAAATGGGATCCTAGTTAGCTGGGTGTTTTTCGTTTTGTTTTTGTTTAAGCAAATGAAGAGCTTCATTATCTGCTTTCCATCTTATGCATAAATTGGAATTAAACTTTTCTTTGATTTCTTATTTTGCAGTACCTTGAGATTATCATCCTAAATATCACTTCTCTTGTTACCAAAGTGTATATGCAAAAGTGATTGAATGTTAAAAACAGTGCTATTCTAAGATATACTGTGACTTTGTCTTACTTTTTAATTAAGTTACTTTTAAATAAGCTTGCTTTCCTATTGTTTGTTTCAATCCCCTTAAAGCTTTTTGTCTTACTTTTTTTTTTTTTTTTTAGCAAAATTCTAGTTAACCAAGGATTTCCAACACACTATATTCTGGTTAACTGAGGTTTCATTATATGTCACCAGATGATTGGCCATCCTCCTCTGTTAAGTTTCTAAATTCAGTGTTTGGTATCGAAAAACAAGGCTCTTATAATTTATCTGACAATTAAAGGAAATGTATAAGATATATTTTTATAAATGATGTATGAGAGACTTATTGGATAGTATTACATTTAGCTTTATAACCTTATATTTCAAATATTGTTTGATTTTTTTTTAGATAGCTTATTAGGTGTTTTGTAACAGCATTCAAAAATAGTGAAATTGGCCAGGCATGGTGGCTCATGCCTGTAATCCCAGCACTTTGAGAGGCCGAGGCGTGCAGATCACTTGAGGTCATGAGTTTGAGACTAGCCTGGCCAAGATGGTGAAACCCTGTCTCTACTAAAAATACAAAAAAAAAAAATTAGCCAGGTGTGGTGGCACACACCTGCAGTCCCAGCTACTCAGGAGGCTGAGGCAGGAGAATCACTTGAACCCAGGAGGTGAAGGTTGCAGTAAGCCAGGATCACTCCACTGCACTCCAGCCTGGGCCACAGAGTGAGATTCTGTCTCAAAAAAAAAAAAAAAAAAAAAAGTGAAATTAATTATTTGATTCCATTTCTTGTTTGAAAAAATATTATCAGTTTTTTTTTTTTTTTTTTTTTTTTTTGAGACAGACAGAGTCTCACTCTGTCCCCCAGGCTGGAGTGCAGTGGTGCAATCTTGGCTCACTGCAAGCTCCACCTCCTGGGTTCATGCCATTCTCCTGCCTCAGCCTCCCAAGTAGCTGGGACTACAGGCACCTGCCACCACGCCTGGCTAATTTTTTATATTTTTAGTAGAGACGGGGTTTCACCATGTTATCCAGGATGGCCTCGATCTCCTGACCTCGTGATCTGCCCGCCTCAGCCTCCCAAAGTGCTGGGATTACAGGCGTGAGCCACCGCACCCGGCTATCAGTTCTTAACACGTAGCTTTCAATTATATCTTTACTTGTGTTGGTGCTGTAGTAAGTAGCTGAAAGAATTCCTATTCCCTGAACATTTCCTGTGTAAACAGCAGTTTTGCAGTACTGTTTTGCAGTTTATACTGCTGTTTTGTAAAGGGTATTTAATTTCCAAGAGAATATATGGATTTGTTCCTGCCAGATTTTTATTCTTTCTTCATTGGCCAGTTTCCTGTTACTTAGCATTGTTTCTTTTTGTTCTAGGAGTATTAAAGCCAGCCATATCCTCATTTCTGGTGATGGCCTAGTGACCCTCTCTGGCCTGTCCCATCTGCATAGTTTGGTTAAGCATGGACAGAGGCATAGGGCTGTGTATGATTTCCCACAGTTCAGCACATCAGTGCAGCCGTGGCTGAGTCCAGAACTACTGAGACAGGTCAGGTGTGGCCGTTGGATTGGGTTGTCTGTGTCTCAAGTGTCTTCTGAGTTTGGCTAAAGTACAGTTGTGTCTTTATATTTGGATTGGTGAATGGCCTTCTGCAAGACTTTATTTCTCTTTCTTGTCAAAATTATGTTAGGAAATTAAATACCATATATGAAGTGTGTCTTGATTTGTCGCTTATGGGTTTCTTTTCCATTATTGTTCACCATTCTTTATCAAAAAAGCACATGTGTATAACTTTTGGTTAACTTATTTGCACTAAAAGACTTCAAATTAATTGTGTCCTACAGGATTTACATGGGTATAATGTGAAGTCAGATATTTACAGTGTTGGGATTACAGCATGTGAATTAGCCAGTGGGCAGGTGCCTTTCCAGGACATGCATAGAACTCAGGTAAGTGCTGCTAAAATCCCTGAGCTACTTGCCTTTCATAAGACTGCTTACATTCTAGATAATTTCTGTTAAACATGTTTGCTATAGACTCTTAGGAGCTTTATTGTTGTTACTGTTTTAATATTTTGCCTGAAAAGTGTTGAAGGAAAGTTCTGTTTCTTTTAGATGCTGTTACAGAAACTGAAAGGTCCTCCTTATAGCCCATTGGATATCAGTATTTTCCCTCAATCAGAATCCAGAATGAAAAATTCCCAGTCAGGTGTAGACTCTGGGATTGGAGAAAGTGTGCTTGTCTCCAGTGGAACTCACACAGTAAATAGTGACCGATTACACACACCATCCTCAAAAACTTTCTCTCCTGCCTTCTTTAGCTTGGTACAGCTCTGTTTGCAACAAGATCCTGAGAAAAGGTAATATTGATCTCTTTTAAATAGCACAAAATGTACATGTTTTACATTTTATAGAAGCTTTGTAACATTGCCCTTCCAGGAGAATACAAATCTTTTGATCAAAATATTGTCTGCTCTAGAAAATATCAATGCTAAGAACAATTAGTGGGAACAAGCAAATGAGAAGAATACTGGATTCAAAATCAGAAGAGGCTGGGTGCGGTGGCTCACACCTGTAATCCCAGAACTTTGGGAGGCCGAGGCGGGTGGATTGCCTGAGGTCAGGAGTTCAAGACCAGCCTGGCCAACATGGTGAAACCCCGTCTCTACTAAAAATACAAAAATTAGCCGGTGTGGTGGCATGCACCTGTAGTCCCAGCTACTCGGGAGGCTGAGAGAGGAGAATTGCTTGAACCCAGTAAGCAGAGGTTGCAGTGAGCCGAGATCATGCCACTGCACTGTAACCTAGGTGACAGAGCGAGACTCCATCTCAAAAGAAAAAAAAAAAATCAGAAGAGTTGGGCTCCAGTCTCAGCTGTATCATTTTCTAACTGATTTTTACAATAAAAATGAGAGTAAAAATCAGTTACTCTTTCTAGACATTAATTAGCACATTTACGTTAAGACTCTAAGTAGTATAAAATGTAAATTGCTGCTACCCTACTAAGTTACTGTCAGTAAATACTGTGTGCAGTAAATGTTGAGTATGGATTAATTGAAGGATACCTCTACAATTATTTCCTTTAGTCAAGGTTGTAGCTAAGAATTGGGCTTCTGACATACATTCTTTTTAATCTTTTTCGTATTGGGTTTTATAGCACTAAACCTAATTTCTAACATATTTTTACACCTGAAATCTACATTCTAATATAAAGGTTTTTTTTTTATAACTTTCTTAAAAATTTCAGGCCATCAGCAAGCAGTTTATTGTCCCATGTTTTCTTCAAACAGGTGAGCTGATCTATCATCCGTTGTCTCGATGTTTTTAATTACTATTAAAAAGTCACTTTATTTTGTTGGCTTGATGAGATATTTTGGTTACCAAGGTTCTTACTAATAACTTTGTTACAAAATAAAGTTAAAAACAAGAAAACTTTTGGTAGTTCAATTATAGACTTTCTAAAATACTTTCATTCTTCAAAACAGAATGAGTAAAAATAAAATGGACTATCATCACATTACTGATGCTTGGTGTATATTTTGATTAATTTAGAGACATTTTCTATGTTGGCTAGAAATGATGAAAGGGCAAAGTAACTCTGATAAGAAGTCAGTTTCTTTGGCTCTTCTTCCTGTTTTCAGATGACCAGAATCAAAGGCAGTTTTAGGGGAAATACCTGAAAACAATTTTAAACACATTTAACATAAATTCTTTAAAAGTTATTTATTGCTAACAAAACTGATATATTGAAATGATATATCAACAGCCTTATTTTGAGTTTCTTTAACAGATGAAAGAAGAAAGCCAGGATTCAATACTTTCACTGTTGCCTCCTGCTTATAACAAGCCATCAATATCATTGCCTCCAGTGTTACCTTGGACTGAGCCAGAATGTGATTTTCCTGATGAAAAAGACTCATACTGGGAATTCTAGGGCTGCCAAATCATTTTATGTCCTATATACTTGACACTTTCTCCTTGCTGCTTTTTCTTCTGTATTTCTAGGTACAAATACCAGAATTATACTTGAAAATACAGTTGGTGCACTGGAGAATCTATTATTTAAAACCACTCTGTTCAAAGGGGCACCAGTTTGTAGTCCCTCTGTTTCGCACAGAGTACTATGACAAGGAAACATCAGAATTACTAATCTAGCTAGTGTCATTTATTCTGGAATTTTTTTCTAAGCTGTGACTAACTCTTTTTATCTCTCAATATAATTTTTGAGCCAGTTAATTTTTTTCAGTATTTTGCTGTCCCTTGGGAATGGGCCCTCAGAGGACAGTGCTTCCAAGTACATCTTCTCCCAGATTCTCTGGCCTTTTTAATGAGCTATTGTTAAACCAACAGGCTAGTTTATCTTACATCAGACCCTTTTCTGGTAGAGGGAAAATGTTTGTGCTTTCCCTTTTTCTTCTGTTAATACTTATGGTAACACCTAACTGAGCCTCACTCACATTAAATGATTCACTTGAAATATATACAGAAATTGTAATTTGCTTTTTTTTAAACAAGGGGGCTAAAGTAACACTTTCCTACTTATGTAAATTATAGATCCTAAATTCACGCACCCCGTGGGAGCTCAATAAAGATTTACTGAATTGAGTTTATGCTTTTATTTATTTTCCTTGCATAGTCTGACAGAGCTAATATACAGATTCTGATTTGTTTTGCCAAGAAAAGCCCTTTCTCAAGCAGATTTATTTACATAATCTATAATCAACTGAGTATTTGATTAAATGGAGGCAGAAGGCATTCTGGCCTTTTGTATGGTTATTGCTCCTGTAGGAGATACAACATATGAGGGCATAGAGGTCTTAATTAATTAATATTTCCTAATTAGAAAAGAGACTCTGCCATGTCTCAAAAAGAATACATAGTTTGGAGGTGTGGTAAACTGGGACCTACTTCAGTTGATTTTCTTAATTTATACAATCTTATTTATATTACATTAAAAGTTATTTTAAAATGATTACCTCAGGACTAAAAAATTAAAAAGACAAATAATATACAAATCCATAGGCGATTTCAAGCACAATTATCTTCATGTTTATTGACTGGACCCCCTCAAGAATGAAGGTTTGGGTTACTCCATCCGTTAAGCCACCAAGACCCACCAAAGTGAAAGAATTTAAAATGGACAGTGGAAAAGGGAGAAGATGAAGACCGCTGAGGCCCTAAGAGCAACTCTAGTGGTAAGGGCTATAGTTCATCCTACTAACCTCCCCCTTCTAAATTTCCCTTCCGTAAGAGAGGCCCACAGAGACCTTAGAGGTCTTTCAAATCTGTGTGGAGGTTCTCCTGAATGTGTGTAGTTTAAAAATTGGACCATAGAGGGCCCGAAATGGTGCTTCTCAGATCTTCTACTATGGGGTGTGTTAGGGTACTCCAGAGAAATAGCCAACAGAATCGATGTGTGTATATAATATATCTATATTTTATATACATACATACATAAACTGATTTATTATAAGGAATTGGTTCATGCGATTGTGGAGGCTGACAAGTCCAAAGATCTGCCAGGTGAGTTAGCAAGCTGGACATCCAGAAGAGCTGATAGTGTAGTTCTCATCCAAAGGTTGTCAGACTCAAGACCCAGGAAGAGTCAGTGTTTCAGTTTGAGTCCAAAGGCAGTAAAAAGCCAATGTCCCAGTTCAAATGCATTCAGGCAGGAGGAATTCTCTTTTACTTGGGGGAAGTTTAGCCTTCCTCTTCTATTCAGGCCTTCAATTGATTGGATGAGGTCCACTCATATTAGAGAGTGCAATCTGCTTCACTTAGTCGACCGATTTAAATGTTAGTCTGATCCAGAAACACCGTGTGATGGTTAATATTAAGTGTCAACTTGATTGGATTGAAGGATGTCTAGATAGCTGATAACACAGTGGTCCCAACCTTTTTGGCACCAGTTTTGTGGTATACAGTTTTACCATGGGGTGGGGGATGGTTTCAGGATGAAACTGTTCCATCTCAGATCAGGCATTAGATTCTCATAAGGAGCAGCACGACCTAGATCACTTGTGTGTGAGTTCACAATAGGGTTGGTGCTCCTATGAGAATTTAATGTGGCCGCTGATCTGACAGGAGGCAGAACTCAGGCGGTAATGCTCACCCACCCTGCTGCTCATCTGCTGTGACGCTGGGTTCCCAACAGGCCACTGACCCGTATGGGTCCACAGCGGGGTTTGGGGACTCCTGTGGTAAAGTATTGTTTCTGGGTGTGTCTATGAGGGTGTTGCCAGAGGAGATTGACGTTTGAGTCAGTGGACTGGGAGAGGAAGACCCACCCTCAATGTAGGTGGGCACCATGCAGTCAGCTGCCAAACGGCTAGATGGCGGCCAGAAGAGGGATAACCTTGCTTGCTGAGCCTTGTGGATTTCATCTTTCTTCCATGCTGGATGCTTCCTTCCACTCCTCCTGCCCTTGGACATCAGACTCTAGGTTCTTTGGCCTTCGGACTCTGGGAGTTGCACAAGGGCCTCCTGGGGACTTTTGTGCCTTCAGCCACAGACCGAGGGTTGCACTGTTGGCTTTGCTGCTTTTGAGGCTTTTGGAATTGGATGGAGCAACTGCTGGCTTCTTTCTTCCTCAGCTAGCAGATGGCCTACTGCAGGACTTCACCTTGTGATAGTGTGAGCCAATTCTCCCTAGTAAACTCCATTTCATATATTCATTAGTTCTGTCCCTCTGGAGAACCCTAATACACATCCTCACAGAGACACTCAGAATAATGTTATTTTTTGTTTGTTTGAGATGGAGTCTTGCTCCGTCGCCCAGGCTGGAGTGCAGTGGCATGATCTCAGCTCACTGTAACCTCTGCCTCCCGGGTTCAAGTGATTCTCCTGCCTCAGCCTCCCAAGTAGCTGGGATTACAGGCTCCCATCACCATGCCCAGCTAATTTTTGCATTTTTAGTAGAGATGGGGTTTCACCATGTTGGCCAGGCTGGTCTAGAACTCCTGACCTCGGACTCCCAAAGTGCTGGGACTACAGGCATTCAGAATAATGTTTGACCAAGTATCTGGGCACCTGTGGCCCAGTACAGTTGACACACAAAATCAACCATCACCATGGGTATCACCATGAGTGATGACTTCACCCTGTGAGTGCTTTCTTAAATTTTGTGCCTCAGGCTCCTTGCTTGCTGTATTTCCAATGGCTGCTGTAACAAATTGCCACAAACTTAGTGGCTTAAGCAACACAAATTTATTATTCTGAAGTTCTGGTCCAGAAGTTTGAAATCAGTCTTACTGAGCTAAAATCAAGGTTTTGGCAGTGCTCCATTCCTTCTGGAGGCTCCAGATGGGAATCTGTTTCCTTGGCCTTTCCAGTTTTTAGCGACTATTCATGTTCCTTGGCTCATGGCCCTGTTTGTCCATCTTCAAAGTCAGCAATTTGGGGCTGAATCCTCATTCTGCCATTTCTCTGGTTCTCTCTTTGATTCTATCTTCTACTTTTTAAAGACCCCTGTGATTACACTGGGCATAATGAGATAATCTGGGATAGCTTCCCTGTCTACAGTCAGCTGATAAGCAACCTTAATTCTGTCTGCAATCGTAGTTCCTTTAGCCACGTAACCTAACATATTAACAGGTTCTGGGCCTTAGGATGTAGGCATCTTTGGGGGAACATTATGCTACCTACCATACCTGCCTCATCCTATCCCTACCCCTGGAAGCAGGGATTGCAAGTCAGGCCCATTCCTGGGAGACAAAGGCCTTTTGTGATTAATGGCTTCGGCTGGAGCACTCCCCATCAGCCCGACTGAAACTTACTTAGAATGACACTGCACTGGCCATCAGAGAAATGCAAATCAAAACCACAATGAGATACCATCTCACACCAGTTAGAATGGCAATCATTAAAAAGTCAGGAAACAACAGGTGCTGGAGAGGATGTGGAGAAATAGGAACACTTTTACACTGTTGGTAGGACTGTAAACTCGTTCAACCATTGTGGAAGTCAGTGTGGCGATTCCTCAGGGATCTAGAACTAGAAATACCATTTGACCCAGCCATCCCATTACTGGGTATATACCCAAAGGACTATAAATCATGCTGCTATAAAGACACATGCACACGTATGTTTATTGCAGCATTATTCACAATAGCAAAGACTTGGAACCAACCCAAATGTCCAACAATGATAGACTGGATTAAGAAAATGTGGCACATATACACCATGGAATACTATGCAGCCATAAAAAATGATGAGTTCATGTCCTTTGTAGGGACATGGATGAAATTGGAAATCATCATTCTCAGTAAACTATCGCAAGAACAAAAAACCAAACACCGCATATTCTCACCCATAGGTGGGAATTGAACAATGAGATCACATGGACACAGGAAGGGGAATATCACACTCGGGGGACTGTGGTGGGGTGGGGGGAGGGGGGAGGGATAGCATTGGGAGATATACCTAATGCTAGATGACGAGTTAGTGGGTGCAGCACACCAGCATGGCACATGTATACATACGTAACTAACCCGCACAATGTGCACATGTACCCTAAAACTTAAAGTATTAAAAAAAAAAAAAAAGGAATGACACTGCAGTCTAAGACATTTCCTATTCTGCCTTCTTGTCTTCCTCCCTCTCTTCCACATTGGTCAGACTTACATCTTGGACAGCTCTCCCAGCCATCTTCTACTGCCTCCCTATTTTTCCCTCCCAGACTTTTCCCCGCAAAACATCTGTTGCAGGTGGTATTAATTTCCTATCACGGCTGTGACAAATTACCACAAACTCAGTGGCTTAAAACAATGCACATTTATTATCTGACAGTTCTCGAGGTCAGAAGTTTAAAATGGATTGGCAGTGCTACACTCCTTCCGGAGTCTCTAGGGGAGAATCTATTGCCTTCCCAGATTCTAGAGGCTTCCTACTTCCTTCCCTCATGGCACAGCACTGCTCCAACTTCTGCTTCTGTGGTCCCATCTCCTTCTCTGACTTGTGTGATTATATTGTGCCCACCCAGATAATTTGGGATAATTCCCCCGATCTCAACACCTTTGGTTTAATCACAGTTGCAAAAATCTCTCATCACATAAGGTAACATTCACAGGTTCCTGGGATTAGGACATGGACACATTAGTAGGGGCCATGACTACCACACATCTAATTTCATTTTGGTGTCTGCTTTTCAAAGGACCCAAACTAGCAGTCACTTTAGCTAAAATGCCCTCCTATGAGCTTCTATAGTACCTTCCCCAAAAAGCACTTACACAACTCTAATTACTTCTGTGTTTATGTTCACAAAGGACTGTGGACTTCGGAGAATATTGTCTCATTCACTGGTATATTGCTGTTTAGTAAAAGTGTCTGGCATTTTGTAGATGTTTAATATTTATTGAATTCTTTCTTGAATAAGTATTTGAATTAAAAAAAAAAGACTTTTGAAAAGAAAATGTAAGAGATTTCCATGGTAAGAAGTTTTAAATTCTTTGCTTGTCACAATATTGCCATTAAAAATTTAATGAGGCAGAGATTAATATTTCTTCCTTTACTGCAAACCAAATCAATGGTTTCCCTCATAAGTACTGTTGGCCAATTGCCTATTAGCTCTCAAGTTCATTTTCCACTCTCTCCCTGTTCTGCTTCACTGGGATCTACGTTTCCCATGTACCCACAAACTCTGGTTTCCAGGGAGGCAACAGAAGATCAGAGAGCAGAACGAGAGAGGAGAAACATGGTATTTCTCACCCTTTGCCCCACTCCCCTTCTGCTTCGAGTGTCCCTGGCAGTGGCGGTATCATCTTTGTCTCTAGCTTCAAGACTCTGGTAGCACCAGTTCCTCCTGCTGTCCTTTCCATCTGAGTGGTGGTAGCACTTCCCACTCTTGCTAATCCCTGGGTTGCTTCAACATCCCTTTTTGCTTCTTAGCCTTGATTCCATCACCCACAAAACCAACTCCCTGTATTCCTTCTACCTGAAAGATCTGGAGTTGTGTTTTCCCAGTTACATGGTGATTGAAAAAAATACTTACAACTTTGAGGATTATTGGAAATTCTTAGTCCCTATAAAAAATTTCTATCCTGATTATAACATTGAATGATCAGGAATTATGTTTTCCATCAGCCAATTCTATTTAAACCCCATAGTCTTTATAACTTCTGGTAGAAAAATAGAAACAAAAATTCTGTAAATCGAATTTTGCTTTTCAAGAGTGGATCAAAGTTCAACAAGATCCAAATATTGTACTTACAAAGAAATAGAACCAATTCTCAGAAGTCTGATTTAAATCCTATGTTGATTTAGCTAGATTATATTTTATTCAGTTTCTACAATTTTATGCAGTTTCCCAAGCATGGTGTTACTAAGAGGCCCTTTCACAGTTGTATGAGTAACTTAGAAAGTCACTGCTGTGTAAGAGATGCTTCAGGAATTAATATTAACTATATTCTTATGTTTTTTGTGTAAAAAGATGCAATATCAGATGATGTTAAAATGAATAAAAGTTCAGCTGGTAGTGGTGGCACACACCTTTAAATCTCAGTTATTTGACAAGCTGAGGCGGGAGGATCGTTTGAGCCCAAAGTTCGAGACCAGCCTGGGCAACATAGCGAGAACTCTGTCCCAAAAAAGTTAATAAACAAGTATAAGGCCCAGAGAATTGCAAACTGTTGAATCTAGAAATATAACTAGAGCTGAAGAGTAAAAGTATGTATTCTTTTTTTTTTTTCTTGAGAGGGGTGTCACTCTCACAGCTCACTGCAGCCTTGGCCTCCCAGGCTCAGGTGGTTCTCCCACCTCAGCTTCCTGAGTAGCTGGGACCACAGGCACGCTATCACGCCCAGCTGATTTTTTGTAGAGACACGGTTTCGCCATGTTGCCCAGGCTGGTCTAGAACTCCTGGGCTCAAGCCATCCATTCACCTTGGCCTCCCAAAGTGCTGAGATTACAGGCGTGAGCCACGGTGCCTGGCCTAAAAGTATATATTCATAACAAAAGGCTGCACACATTGATAACCACAAATCACCTGAAAACTGGGTAGAAAGGGAAAATTTACAGTGTAACAAAGGTTGGAGAAGTCAGAGAAATACAAATTGGAGTGATATTATATAGTGGAAAAATTAAGAAAAACTGAGAAATAAAACTTTGTTAATGAATATAAACTGAATACGTATTTCTGGGTTTGTTCCCTAAGGTTCATGAACAAAAACACATTTACATCAAATGTGTTTGTTTTTCATTTTAATCAAAACAAAATGGTTCTAACAAGATGAAATTTGGTTGCTGACTTCTGTCACACAAAAGAAGAGATCTCCAAACCATTTTGTTAATGGAGAAGTGATATTCTGACTGCTGGCCTCACATATCATTCTGAGTTAAACATGTTTTATAATATCACAAATGAGCGAACATTTTTCAATATCCTCTTTTAATTTTTTTTGGCCGCATTTTATGCATTTCATAATCTGATGTTTTATCATTTATATGAACTAAGCCTGATGAAACCATTCGACGACTTGTAAACTTTCCACTGTAGCTTTCTCGTTGCTTGTTAACCTCCGGAGCAGTATATGGTCTTGCAGAGTGTCTGGCATGGTTATGGATATCATCTGAGCTTTTTCCTAAAAGCCTTGATCTTGATTTTACTTTTTTAAGGTGTGTAAATGAGGTCATGTCATGTAAATCCTCAAATTTATCTGAACAATCCTAAATAATAAAATAAAAGATCCAATTGGTAAATTAGGTTTCTTAAAAGTAGGTTTTAAATTTACAAGGACTTCTGACATGGATGGTCAAAAGAAAAAAGAAAAACAAACAAGGACTAAAGTTTATAATAGCAACAGTTAAAGACAAAGAATGAAAACACTGAACGTTTCTTAGGCAGTCTCTAAATTCAGACCCTACACCCGATGCCTCCCATTAGATACTGTGCTAGATACTATGCTAGCAACCATGCTTTAAAAAGATCTGTTACAAAGTATCCGTTATTTCAAAAGATATTGAAGATAAGCTAGAAACCTGAAAAACTTGAGAGCTGACCTCAGGGGTCAGACTCCTAAGCAATGCTGGCCAGATTACTTTGTAATTTCTCTCCAACAAAATCTCTCTCTCCGACCCCAAATATAAATTATGAACTCTTATATTTTACTTTTCATATCATCCAAAATTTGATCTTTCATCCTTTAATAACCATCTTTAATTTATGTACATACAGAGGGAGAGAGTGTGTGCCACACCCAAGAATATGGTTATAATGTTTACATTAAAAATAAAAAATTGCATGTATACTCTGAGTAAACAAGTAAAACATTTGGTAAAATAACTGGAAGGATATATACCATAGTAAATGATTCTTTTTCAAATTTTCTATTATATAGCTATATAAGGTATGAATCTAGTAGTTACCCTCAAATTAGGGTAAACAATTTCCTCAGCAGTTTGAGCAGCTCATCTCATAATACTTTGCAAAGATAGCCACACCAAGGGAATGGGCTGCTTGATTTGAACACAGGTGGGGATGGATTAATAGAACTGGGGATCAGGGAACATTGGGCAGGACTAATAAGAATTAGGCAGTCAGAAAAAGATTTACAAAAAAGACTGTATAACGAGTCTAAAGATAAATTCTACCTATTTAACATTTCTGCCTGAGTTTGGAGAAGGCAAGAAAACATTCTTCCTCTTCCCTCTTACGTACACAAGACAATTAGGGAAGCCACAATGAGATAATTTATGCTATGTTAGTGAGTAACACATAATTTTCCTTCACAGCTGATATAACTTGATTACTGGAGTGGCAGTGGAAGGGCATGGAGACCCAGGCCACTGGTCACTTTTCTAGGTGCTCCTACGACTCAATTTCTCTCTTCTGTCTTGATTCCTTTGGGAGATTCCTGGATTTTAGAAAATCAGATGAGTAAGTTGTTATCATCTGAAAAATGCCCTCTTACCACACAATTATCTATTAGAGGAAAGTTTAGGAACAGTTGGTTTAACTGAGAGAAATAAAGATAACTCTATCTCCCTTGCCTGCTCTTAGGATAAGGGTTCTGAGATCCTATATAATCTTATATCATTTAACATAAACACAATTTCTTACTTTGCTTGAAAAGTTGTATTAAAGATTCCATTTGTCTTAAAAAATTCAGAAAATCCTCTTTGAAGACTATCACCCCATCTTCTACCTTTTTTCCGAGTGTGTAGACACGTGTGTATATACACTCACCCCCTCAATACTAAGTTTCCGAATTTAGATAGAAAAGAAAAATCCAAAATTGAAAGTATAAGCTGATATTTATACCCTGTCACTATATAGCTAATATTTAGCTGTATAATATATAGTGTGTATAATATATAGCTATATAATATTTACCCTGTTACTATAAAGCTAATAGTTTGCTTTACTGTGGAAAATAAATTCAAAGCAATTACGCAGAAATTAGATTTTCTCAAAGGTAGAATTATGCACATCAAAGTATCAATTTAATATGAGTTTTACTTACTCATATTTACTTAGCAGTTTTTCCAATTATGGGTCATGCCTGTTATGCATACTATAGGGAAGACCAGTGATTCAGAAAATTAAAAATCCCTTCCATTCCTAGATTTTAAATTTGCTTTAGAATGATTTGTATAAAGTCTAGTCGCAGATTTACTTTCCTAATTTTTTTTTTTTTTTTGAGACTGATCTTGCTCTCTTGCCCAGGCTGGAGTGCACTGGCACCATCTTGGCTCACTGCAACCTCTGCCTCCTGGGTTCAAGCGATTCTCGTGCTTCAGTCTCTCAAGTAGCTGGGATTACAGGCGTGCACCACGACACCCAGCTAATTTTTGTACTTTTAGTAGAGATGGAGTTTCACCATGTTGGCCAGGCTGGTCTCAAATTCCTGGCCTCAAGTGATCCACCTGCCTCAGCCTCCCAAAGTGCTGGGATTATAGGCGTGAGCCACCGCGCCTGGCCTCCTAATTGTTTTATGTTAATATTAAAAATATATTTGAATTCTCAAGTTTCTCAGCACATGATATAGCATGGTGGTGAAAAAAGAAAAGACTAGAAGTTAAATTTTTGCAATTCATAATCCAATGGATTGTAAATTTTGCATATCCCTAATTTTTAGCCAGATAACTGGCACATGGGAGCTTCATATTTGTTTAACTGAAGCAAAGATAATTCGCTATGTGAAAAAAAACCTCTAATAGTTGTAGTTATATCTCTATGAAAAGAAAATGTCGGCTATGTTTCCACAGTATCTGGCCACAGCCAATGGTTGTACTAATTTTAGTCAGGGCTAAAATCCAGCCAGTTTTCCACAATCAGGACTGTGTACTCTGACTCTCGGCTGTGTCAGCTGGGAGAATCTGCCCAGAGGAAGAGGGCACCTTTTTCTAATTCATGTCCCAGATGGTGGGTTGGGGGAGGGGTGCCACTGTTTATTTCATAAAAAGGTAGTAGGTGTGTTAACAGTCCCGCTGATTTTGTGATTGTATTTTGAATCAGGTGAGGTGATATTTAAGTTTCAGAGGAATTTTTTTGTTTGTTTGTTTTGAGACGGGGTCTCACTCTGTCACCCAGGCTCGAGTGCAGTGGCGCGATCTCGGCTCACTGCAAGCTCCGCCTCCCGGGTTCATGCCATTCTCCTGCCTCAGCCTCCCGAGTAGCTGGGACTGCAGGCGCCCGCCACCATGCCCGGCTAATGTTTTGTATTTTTAGTAGAAACGGGGTTTCACCATGTTAGCCAGGATGGTCTGGATCTCCTGACCTCGTGATCCACCTGCCTCAGCCTCCCAAAGTGCTGGGATTACAGGTGTGAGCCACCACACCTGGTCTTTCAGAGGAATTTTTAAATTGGAGGTCTGTATGTCTTGGGGGTAATTAAGGTTATACACACAGTTGGATGCAGATATATACACCCTAAATTATTGCCAGAACTTTGCCAAATACAGAAGTAGAAGACTTAGAAAAACATTATTACATGTATAGTTCTTCTTGCAGTCCAGTGAAGCAGTGTCCTTGGAACAGACTTCTTTAGGTGAATTCTTGTGGTGGGCAGTGTGGTTGGTAGTATCCTGACTATCTTGTTAAATGACTTTTTTGGTTGGGCGACACGGTCTCTTTCTTTTCGGACCTTGGGTTTTAGATCTTCTATCTTAAATAATTCTGGGAAGAGGTGTGGTTTCAAGTTTTTCTCATCTTCTACAACCTTATATTGGAATGACTGTATTTCAGGGAACTTGGCACATTTTTCACTGCAAATTTCATCTGGTTTTATATAAAGAGTTTGTATTTCTTTTTTGTATTGTGCAAATGTTACTAAATGCTTTTTATTATTGTTATTATTTCCTTTCAATGTCTGACAATACTGGTCTTCTAATTTTGATTTTTCCCCAGTCTCTGTATTGAAATGAGTTAAAGTGCTACTTTGCCAGGAAGGGAAAGTGATTCTGTTTAAGTACTCATCTTCCCTTGGCATTCTGGCATTAGGAATTCTTGGATACGATGTTAATACTGCTTCAGGTTTTTCCTGAACAGTCCATTTATAGATGTTTACATGCTCCTTTCTATCAAGGGACTTCATTTTCAGTGTCTTTTCACACCAAGCTTTTGATTGAGTTATTTTTGATTTACCACCCCAACTATATGGGTCTTGAATCTCTGTTTTATGAACAGAATTTTCTGCTTGAGGAAGCTGCGTGAATACATGTTCTTTCCTTAGTTTCTTAAGCAGTATATCTGTAAGTATTTCTGATGACTTACTTAATGGACTTGCCTGGATATTTTCATTGGAAGAAGGTTGTACTTTGATTAAACTTGGTGTTTTAGCTTCTTCCTTAGTGTAATAACTTTTCTGTTCCTTAATTAAAGATGAATTTCCCTTTAAATTCTGTAAGGGAAAATATTTCTTTTCTTTCTCTCGAATCAATTCTGCTTCTCTAAGTTTATCCTCAGAAACCGTTTGTAAAGTGGTTTGTTGAACAATTCTTGAATATTTATTTTGCTTTTCTGAATGCTTCTCCACAAAGTGACAGTCATCTCTAAAAGGTAAATGTGTTTTTATATATTTTAATGGTATAGAACTAGAATTAAGCAAATTTATATGCTGGTTGATCCCTTCTAATTGCTTTTTTGTCATTAGTCCTGATTTTGAAAGTTTTTCTATAAAAAGACTCTGGAGGTGTTTGCTTAAATCAGCTTTTAGATGTAATAATTCATTTTCTGATAAAGCTATCAGATAGTTTTGTAGAGATTTACTTAAAGGATATTTCATGTTTATTTCAAACCTTCTACCAAAACTCCCCTTTGAAATATCTTGTTCTAGTTCATGAAAAGATATTGAGACACTTTTAGTCCTTAGAGAAGATATGTTTGGGTATATAGTCTCAGATGCTGTCTCATTAAATAAACTGCTTTCTGAAATGTTTTTTAGGAAATAGTTTTGGAGAATCTCTTTTAAAAAAGATCTCAGCTTTATTTCCAAATGTTTATCTATGAAATGATGATTGAAATTGTTGACAAAAGACATGATTTCTTTCACAGTTTCAGAATATTTCCCCTGAAAACTGTTTGGCCCTTTCTGCTCTGCTTTCTCATTCATCAGATACAGATTTTGATAGATTTTTGGTAAGTCCTCCTTGGTGATATGTCCTGATTCTGAAAGTCTTTCTACAAGGTAATGCTGGATTTGTTTACTTAATTCAGATTTTAAATGTTTTACTTCTGACTCTGAGAGTTCTTCTAGAAACACACGCAACTTTGGACTCAAAATAGGTTTTCTGTCTAATTTGTCTGCTTTATCAAAATCCTCTTGGAGTTCTTCAAGGTGTTCTGTGTCACTTGTAAAAGAAGGTTGAATTAGTCTTTCTAATTCTTTTTCTGGTTGTCCTCTTCTTTCAGAATGATTATATTTGAAAAAAACATTGAAGATGTTTTTTAAAAAGGATTTTAACATTATTTCATCTGATTCACTAAGTTTATCCATTAATGAGTTAGTTAAACTTTCTAAAGTAGAACTGAGATCATTTTTGTCTTTACAAAGCCTCTGACCATTTCTTGGCAAATACAGTTCTTTATTTGCTATTGAATAATAACTTGAATCTTGTGGGAACATATTTTGGTCTTCCTGTATAAATTCAGCTCTACTAACAGAAGTAGTGTCTTTGGGAATGATGGGTATACTCTGCTCAGAAAGAGGTTCTGTCTCGCTTCTGATTTCTGAATAATACTCTTGGGAATCCTTTAGGTTTCCTTTAGGAGAAGTGATCCCCGTACCCAGCAAAGAACTCTTATGGTGTTCTTTATCTAATTCTATCACTTTGATTATCCCAGATTCTAAAAGTGTATCTATAGGAAATGCTTGTATTATCTGGCTTGTAGCAGATCTGGGCTGTGGCAATTCTATTTCATCAGCATTTTCTTCATGAAATAGAATATGTGATGACAAACTTCTCTTCCAAGGTGTAGGTAATTGATTTTCCAAGTTCATTGGTGTTTCACTTGGCTCTTTCACTTCTATCTCCAATTCTGAGAATATTGGTGCAGTGAATATTTGCCTCATAATGTAGTCATGTACAGTGCCACTTGAACCTGATTTGGAGTTAGGTACTTCGCTTATTAAATGTTTCTTTTTGGTACTACTATTTTTTTTAATTGGAAAATCTCTCTCATCAGCTTCGAAGTGTTTTTTAGAGACATGTTCTTCTACCTCTGGAGATTGTCCTGGTCCACTTTCTAAAAATGAATCTGCAGGAATATTTTTAATTATCTGACCCCCTTCTGAAAGTGAATATTCAGGAATATTTTTAATTACTTGACCACCTTCTAAAAGTGAATCTGCAGGAATATTTTCAATTATTTGACTACCTTCTGAAAATGAATCTGCAGGAATATTTTTAATTATTTGACTTAAAGTAGTCTTTGAATTTAAAATGTCTTTTTCTGAAAGCCAGTTGTTTAAATCTTGTTTTTTTTCCAATACGTTGTCTTCCATACTACTTGATGATTTATCATGAATGCTTAGAAGTGGAGAACTACTTTTCTCTCTTGCTTCACTGTTCATACTAACTTCTGGTTTAGAAAATAATTTGTCTGAAAGGTCTTGCAGATTTTCACTTAAAATTGACTTGAGTATCATTGATTGTTTTAAATATTCTATATGGGGGGTAAAATTTAAAGACTTCGAGAGGTGACATGTGTTTGCCTGTACATTTCCAGCCCTTGATGATTCTCCTTTGATGCTTGGTAAAGATACATTTGGTAGATTTTCTTTTAAACTATTCTTTGTATCTAAACCCTTTATTGTATTGATAGTAGGATCAGGGGCTAACTTATTCTCAGTTTCTAACATCTTTGTTGTGAAGATATTAGGGTCATGGGCCCAGGTTGTATTAGCAGGTCCTGCAGTTTTTGATTGTGCTGGATAAGGAGGATCCTGGTCTTCATGCTCTATGACCTCTGCACCTAAGATATTTCTATATTTGTATATATCTTGATCTTTTCTTTTTCTGACTGACATTTTGTTTATATTCCTTAGAAAAGGATCAAAACCGTTCTTGTTGAATTTCTGAAACTGCAATATTAAAAAAAAGGTAAGACATTTGGTAGCAATGATTTTGAATTTATCATATATTTTCTAGTTAATTTTCCTTGAGCAATCTGTCAATGTATCTATTCAGTCTCCTACCCTCCACAAAGGGAGAAAATCAACTTTAATTATTTTAAAATATTTGAAATTGAAATAAAAATTTTAATGGAAAAATTTCAAATTCTTAATTCTGACACTATTTTGTGTCCAAGTGCTTTTTGCTACTTGGAATATTTTTAAATACTTAAAAAGCCACCCATAAATAGTTTATTTTTAACAACGCAATTTCTGGTGTTAGCTTCATTTCCTTAGACAATGGCTAACATCAGGATCCAAGTCTCATTTACCTAAATATTTGCTACATTCATAGCAATGTAGGAAATTTTTTTTTTTTAATTCAAGCAAGTAGTGAAAAGTACTGAAATGAAACTCATGAAAAGTATCATAAATATTCTCTAAAAACTGACTTGGGGGCATATATCATCTACCTTTAAGTCTGAGAGTTTCAACAATGATAATGAGCTCCACCCAGTCCTTAACATGTCACAGTTTCATCTTGCTTTTTGATGCATACTGTATAATGCCTCAGAAATGGATGAGGGAGAACCATATAGAAAACTCAGGATTACAGTAAAAATTCAGTGTAATATTCATAAGCAGCTTTTTAGCTCTGGGATCAAGCTCTTCTAATCATTGAAACAGCCTTCAAAATAAAAATTCTTATTGAAACTCTTTTTTCGTACTTCTGTGTTATCTAACTAAAAAAAGCAAAATGTGAAAGAATCAGCCTAGTATTTGTCTTATTTTATTTCAACTTAGTAGTTCAAAATTATTTTTAATGGATGCAACTTATTGTAACTGGTTTTCAAATTCTAGTGGATACCAAGATGACAAATTAAGAATCCCCTTGGTTTTTTTTTTTTTTTTTTGAGAAATACAAATTCCCAGGTTCTGTTTCCAAGTTGAGATTCATTAGGTCAGAAGTGGACCTGGGAATGTGTATTTTTTACAGTAGCCAGGTGTTTCTAATGAGTAGCTTTTTAGAACTATTGAATTAAAGTATTGAAGAAACCTAGTAATTAAGTATAATGATACTGGGATAGAATAATTCAGGACTCACCTGAAATTTTGGTTTGAATTCTATATATTCTGGTCTGAAAGATGGTGAATTATATTCTTTTGGTGAAAAAGCCACCTTATAAAAAAAGAAGTTCTAATTTTAGATTACTTGTAATATAAGAATATCAAGATCATTTTATTCTTGCAATAGTTATTAGAGATATAAAATTTTTAAACCTAAATATTTTTATCATAACAACTATACCTTGCCAATTATGAAAGAAATCTATATACATATTATATATGTGAAATATTGGATTCTTTGGTATTATAATAGTCACCCTATTGAATTTGTAAAGTCAAAATAATGCACAGCAACTTCAAGCAGAAACAAAAGTAAAAATAAAATAGAATTGTCAGAAGAAATGTAATCTGATTTTTAAAAGGCTGTGAGATGCCTTTACACAATACATGGCAGCTCATATTATATTGAGATAGCATTTTATTTATTTATTTATTATTTTTTCGAGACAGAGTCTTGCTCTGTTGCCCAGGCCAGAGTGCAGTGGCATGATCTTGGCTCACTGCAACCTCTGCCTCCTGGGTTCAAGAGATTCTTGTGCCTCAGCCACCTGAGTAGCTGGGATTACAGGCATGTGCCAGCACATCTGGCTAATTTTTGTATTTTTTGTAGAGACGGGGTTTTGCCATGTTGGCCAGGCTGGTCTCGAACTCCTGACCTCAAGTGATCCGTTTTCCTTGGCCTCCCAAAGTGCTGGGATTACAGGCGTGAGCCACCGCGCCCGGCCATAGATAGCATTTTCAATGATTATCAACCTGTCACTGTTAAATGAATATTTAAAACTCCCTAAAGAAATCTAAATCAAGATGTGTGGGAACAATTACAGGATCACAGAACCATTGAATTTTTAGAGATGGAAGTATTTTAGAGACAATCTAGTTCTAGTTCTTATTTTACACAGAATCTGAAGCTGAAGTTTCTTGTCCCAAGTTACCCAGATGACTAGTAGCTTAAATCCTAGGTGTCCAAAGTTTTCATTGGGTACTCAGTCCCCCACACAATCCAGATAGCAGTGAGGGAGAATGAGTGGCTTTAGAAGCATCATAATGTGCATCCACACTGCCAACTCATACAGAGAGAAAACGTGACACATCTCTTCACAGAACACTTGGTACTTCAAATGACTTTCCTATACATTATCTCCTTTAGTCTGTAGAGGGTTCACTATGGACTAAATTAATTAAAATAACAATTCAATGAGTAACATTTTTATTAGAGATACTTTTAGGTTATTTTAAGGTTTAATTAACATTAAGCAGTTAATAAATGACCCTATTCTTAAAGCCTCAATGGCTTCCCACTCATTGTCCTCACATACCAACTCTATATTGTCTCTGCAAGTTGCTCAATATTTGCCAGTATCGTTCCTCTCCTTCAGCCAAATGTGTCTAACTCTGAATTCTTGACATACATCTTGTACTTCCATACCTATTCTTTTGTTCCTTTTGTTTTTCTTTGCTTAAATTTCTCCCAAATCTCTCTTAAACACAGTTTACGTTATAACATTTGAAGGCTCATTGCTTTAAATGAATAGAAAAATTTAAAAAAGAAACATGTATGATAAACAAGTGAAAGAACAAGTAGTAGAAAAATATAATTTCATTTTTGTAACAAAGCAAACAAAAAATTCCCCCTATTACAAGCATGGACAAATGTGTGAATGGATTCAAAATGCTTACATTGTTTTCACACGAAAGTAGCTCTGGAGGAGAGGAAGGAGGATGCTATTAACTTTTACTCCGTTTAACTGGGTATTATTGATTAGATGAACATATAATTCTTTCACAAATAAAAAGCTTCAGTAAAGTAATATTGGGGGAATGCTCTAGGTATTCATGTTAGGAAGCTAGGAAAAGACAATAAAACAAACCAATACCGGAGCTTCAAGATGGCAGACTGAACATGTGAGTCTACTCTCCTTTCTCCCAAGGTTCCAGTACATTAACAGAAAATATTATTTCAAAAAGAAAGAACCATGGCAATACTAGAAATCAGTAAGGTGAGCTACCAGGATCTAGAACTTTGAGAAAATACAGAAAATATGAGAGCAGATATAATTGACTTAATGGAAAAACCCAATCAGAAAAACCATAACCTTAAACAATAGTTATTAGAGATGTAAAATCAGGGGGGTCTGAGAAGCAATACATTCCAAGTCAGTGTATTAATCAGGGTTCTCCAGAGGGACAGAACCAACAGGATATATGTATATATAAAAGGGAGTTTATTAGGAAGAATAGCGCACACGATTACACAGTGAATTCCCGCAATAGGCTATCTGCAAGCTGGAGAAAGAGAGAAGCCAGTAGTGGCTCAATCCAAGTTCAAAAGACTCAAAACCAGGGGAGCCAACAGTGCAACCCTCAGTCTGTAGCTGAATGCCCCAAAGCCCCCTGGAGACTGCTACTGCAAGTCCCAGAGTCCAAAGGCCGAAAAACCTGGAGTCTGATGTCCCAGGGCAGGAGGAGAGGAAGCAAAGCATCTGGCAAGGGAAGAGGGAGTGAGCCAGAAGACTCAGCAAGCAAGCTCATCCCTCCTTCCTCTGTCTGCTTTGTTCTAGCTGAGCTGGCACTGACTGGACAGTGCCCACCCACATTGAGGGTGGGTTTTCCTCTCCCAGTCCACCACCTCAAATGTCAGTCTCCTCTGGCAACACCCTCACAGACACACCCAGAAACAATACTTTTCTAGCCCTCTAGTCATCTCTCAATCCAGTTAAGTTGACACCTAATATTAACCATCACACTCAGCATACACAAAGAAAATCAGATCATGGGAATGTCCATAGTTATTAAAGAGCTGCATTTGGAAAAGCTGGACCTCTTGGACCCTTCGTTATCACCCCTCTCTTTCTCTGTGCACACAGAGCAAACACTGCTGGCAGCACTGTCTTTTCCCAGTCACTCTCCCAAACATCAAAAAACCATTCTCTAAGGAGAATATGGCATATTCCTAAGCAGAGATATAAGTTTTGGGCCTTGACAGGGAAGCAGAGTAACGATTGCTGAGACTCACACTTCCAAATTAGATACCTAAAAGGGGATTTGAAAAAAAGGAAAGGGAGTTCCATCCAGGAAACACACTGGTTCTTTGGAAATGTAGAGTCCTCAGCCATCCTACCTGCCATCTTCCATCCCCACACACCCTCCAGGGAAGCCTGCCCAGCACATAGACAGAGTATACCTATATAATCAACATACCCCTCCATTTATAAACATAAAATGAAGTTTACCATATATATGAGAAAAATTGATACATGTAAGTGAAGAATCAATAAGAACAAATGGAACTAACTCCAGCATAAATAGAAATATTTCTGACAAATGTAGGAGGAGGGTGACCCTTGGAAAAGATTCTAAATAGCTCAGAGATATTCAAGAGGATATTGAGTTCTCTTTAGCTGTATGATAATTATCTCAAATTTAATGTATATAAAATACAATTTTAGATTAGGCACCACACTCCCAAAAAAGAAAACCCTTAGCTTTTCTGTTTTTCCTCTTCTCAGTTGATGATGCATCTATCTCTGGAATTGTTAGGCCAGAAACCTAAGGGTTTTTATTCCTCTCCTTCTCCTTTCCATAACTAATCCAGCATTAAGTCCTGTGGCTGCTGCCTTCAAAACAGATCAAGTATGACCAGTTGCAGTGGCTCACACCTGTAATCCCAGCACTTTGGGAGGCTGAGGCAGGTGGCTCACTTGAGTCCAGGAGTTTGAGATCAGCCTGAGCAACATGGAAAAACCTTGTCTCTACAAAAAATACAAAAAATTAGCCAGGTGTGGTGGTGCAGCCTATGGTCCCAGCTACTCAGGAGGCTGAGGTGGGGGATCACTTGAGCCTGGGAGTGGGAGGTTGCAGTGAGCTATGATCATACCACTACACTATAGCCTGTGCAACAGAGTGAGACCCTGTCTAAAAAAAATTATATATATATATAATTTATATATTAATATATATTGAGTATATAATATATATAATTTATATATGATATATATATATCCAATCACTTTTTCCCATCAACCCCCCTACTACTATAGAACAAGCCACCATCATGTTTCCCCAAGCAGTGGTATCCTAAGTAGTCTCTTGATTCCTGTGACAGAAAATGCTAGTTGCCTTCCTAAAATGTATTATCTCAAGAACTTACATTTTTTTAAGGGGCAGAAATGTCCCCTATCAAAAGAGCTACATCTTCTAGCCTCCTTTGCAGACAGGAGTGGCCATGTGACAAAATTTTGGCCAACTAGACATAATTGGAAGTTGTTGAGAGAGTATCTTAACTCTCTCTTCTGAGTGTCTTAAAACAGAGGCCGACAGTCAGGTGCAGTGGCTCACACCTGTAATCTCAGTACTTTGGGAGGCCGAGGTGGGTAGATCACGAGGTCAGGAGATCGAGACCATCCTGGCTAACACGGTGAAACCCTGTCTCTACTAAAAATACAAAAAATTAGCCGGGCATGGTGGCACGCGCCTGTGGTTCCAGCTACTTGGGAGGCTGAGGCAGGAGAATCACTTGAACCCGGGAGGTGGAGGTTGCAGTGAGCCAAGATTGCATCACTGCACTCCAGCCTGAGTGACAGAGTGAGACTCTGTTTCAAAATAAAAACAAAAAATAAAAAACAAAACAAAAACACAGAGGCCGACTTAGGTGATAAGTATGTAACTGAACTTGTCTTTTTCTTTCTTCCTGCCTGGAATACATGTGATGCCTGGAGATATAAAGTCCATCTGGTGTTACCCTTCAGTAACATGCTCATGCTGAAGATGGCTGTCCATAAAGAAAAGGAATCTGGGCCCCTGATGACGTCATGAAACCACAATATTACGATTTAAGGCACTGTTTCTAAGTTTTTGTTACTCATGCTTAACATGTTACTCATGATTAACTCATGTTAAATCATGTTTAACATGATTCTTAACTGAAAAACTTCTACACATACTGAAATTTATTCTTTTACAGTAGAATAAAGCTAGAAATCAGTAATAGAAGAAAATTAGAAAATTCACAAACATTTGGAAATTAAACAAAAAATTCTTTAAAAACCAATGGGTCACAGAAGAAATTACAAGAAAAATTAGGAACTACCTTGAGACAAATGAAAACACAACATACCAAAACTTATGGGACACAGAAAAATCGATGCTAAGGGGAGAAATTTATGGCTATAAGCATTTACACTAAAAAAGAGAAAGATCTCAGGCCGGGCATGGTGGCTTATGCCTGTAATCCCAGCACTTTGGGAGGCCAAAGTGGGCGGATCACCTGAGATCGGGAGTTCGAGACTAGCCTGACCAACATGGAGAAACCCCGTCTCTACTAAAAATACAAAATTAGCTGGGCATGGTGGTACATGCCTGTAATCCTAGCTACTCAGGAGGCTGAGGCAGAATTGCTTGAACCCAGGAGGTGGAGGTTGCAGTGAGCCAAGATCACGCCATTGCACTCTAGCCTGGGCAACAAGAGCGAAACTCCATCTCAAAAAAAAAAAAAAAAAAAAAAAAGAAAGATCTCAAATTAACAACTTAACTTTATGTTAAGGAACTATGTATACATTCCTTAATGCATACATTAGAATAAGAGCAGCAAACTAAACCTAAAGTTAAAAGAAGGAAGGAAACAATAAAGATTAGAGTGGAGGTAAATAAAATAGAGAATAGAAACACGATAGAGAATATCAGTGAAACCAAAAGATGGTTCTTTGTAAAGGTCAACAAAATTTACAAACCTTTATAGCTAAATTGATTAAGAAAAAAAGAAAGACTCAAACTATTAAGATCAGAAATGGAAGTGGGATATTATTACTGATTTTACAGAAACCAAAAGGATTATAAGAATACTATGAACATTTGTACACCAACAAGTTGGATAACTTAGATGAAATAAACACATCTCTTAAAAAAGCCAAACTACCAAAACTGACACAAGTAGAAATAGACAATTTGAATAGACTTATAAGTGAAGAAATTAGATTTAATCTCTTGACCCAGTTATCTGTGGATTTTTAGTCCCCAGATAGCTTTTATGAATACTGCTCACTGCTTTTCCTGCCCTCATTCCATGTTATGTGAGATAGAGACAAGCAAGTCCATCCTTCAGGTATCCTCCAGCCAGCTTAGAACGGACATATACAATAATTTGCAAATAAAACTATGTTCCCTCCAGTTCCATAAAGGGAATTGGGAACTAGGCTTCTGCTGCTCAAGACCAACAGTGCTGCTGTACTTAGGAGCAGATGAAAGGGTGAATACAAACTCCAAAAAACGTTTCTACTGTTTTGAACATGAATTCTAGGTGAACAGGTTTCATTTTCTTTCATTACTATAAAGATGTCACTCCATAGTCTTCTGCCTTTCATAGTCTAATAAGAAGTCTGGGCCGGGTGCAGTGGCTCATGCCTGTAATCCCAGCACTTTGGGAGGCCGACATGGGAGGATCACGAGGTCAGGAGTTTGAGACCAGCCTGACCAACATGATGAAACCCCGTCTCTACTAAAAATACAAAAATTAGCTGGGTGTCATGGCACACGCCTGTAATCCCAGCTACTCAGGAGGCTGAGGCAGGAGAATCTCTTCAACCTGGGAGGTGGAGGTTGTGGTGAGCCAAGATCGTGCCACTGCACTCCAGCCTAGGCGACAGAGTAAGACTCCATCTCAAAAAAAAAAAAAAAAAAAAGTCTGTTTTTATTTGTTCCTCTGTAAATATTTCTTATTTAAATCTGTAAATAATGTGCCTTTTGCCCCTCTGAGTAAAGGTTTCTCTTTATCATTGATTCTTAGTAATGTGATTATTAGCATGGTTTTCTTTAGGTTCATTCCCTTGGAATCTATTGAGCTTCTCAGATATGTGGGTTTATAGTTTTCATCAAACTTAAAAATATTTTGACCATTTTCTTCAAATCATTTTTCAGTTCCCCTCCCAGACTCCAGTTACATGTGTGTTATACCACTTTGTATTTTCACATGTTAGTGATACTGTGTTGTTTTTTTTTTCTATTTGTGTTTCATTTTTGTGTAGCTCCTAATCCTCTGTCTTCAGGTTCAGTGATCTTATCTTCTGCAGCATCTAATATGTTGTTAATCTCTTAAAGGTTACTATTTCAGATATTTTTTATCTCTAAAAATTCCTTTGGGGTTAATTATACCCTCTATTTTTTTCCTCATCATACTCACGTTTCCTCTACCTTCTTGAACGTATGAACTATATTTATAATGGCTCTCTTAACATTCTGTTCTATCATTGATGTCATTTCAGGATCTTTTTCTATTATTTGATTTTTCCCTACATAATGAGTCATATTTTATTGCTTTTTTATATGCCCAGTATTTTTTAAAAATACATTTTATTATTTCATTGTTTAGACACTAGGTCTCACTATGTTGCTCAGTCTGGATTCAAACCCCAGGGCTCAAATGATCTTCCTGCTTGAGCCTCCTGAGTAGCTGGGACTTCAGGCACACATTGCTGGTATACCTGGTAATTTTAAAATTTAACTTAAGAGACAGAGTCTCACTCTGTTGCCCAAGTGGGAGTGCAGTTGCAAAATCAGCTCACTGTAGCCTCTAACTCCTGGGCTCAAGTGATCCTACTGCCTCAGCCTTCTGAGTAGCTGGAACTATAGGGGGGCACCACCACACCTGGCTAATTTTAAAAATTTATTTTGTAGACACAGGGTCTTGCTTTGTTACCCAGGCTGGTCTTGAATTCCTGACCTTAAGCAATCCTCCTACCTCAGCCTCCCAAAGTCCTGGGATTGCAGGTGTGAGCCACTGTGCCTGGCCGAACACCTGGTAACATTGTATTGAATGTTAGGAATTGTGGATTTTATGTTGTTGATTGATAAATTTTTTTTTCTTTCTTTTAAATCGTTTTGAATTTGCTCTTATGCACATTTAAATTACTTGGAATTAGTTGGGTTCTTTTAAGATTTATTGCATAGAAGGTTGTCTAGAGAAACTTTTAGTGGAGCTTTAGAAGGGGCTGATTTAGCCTCTCTACAAAGGTGATACCCTTCTAAGGATTCTACTTACTCTCATGTGTTATGAGTCTTTCCACTCTGGCTGATGAGAATATGGAATTATTGGAAGTCCTGTGTGAGTACCTATAATTTTCTACCTTATCTTTCCAGTGGTTCTTTTCCTTGCTTTCAGTAATTTTCTGCTTAGATCAGTATTCAGCCAAAGACTCCAGAGGAACTTCTTTACAGTTATCTGGAGCTTTCTTGCTGCTGTAGTTTTTTCTCTTCTGGTACCCTACCAGTTCGCCTCTGTCTGCTAAATTTCAGACTCTATCTCCTCAACCCAATGAGATCTCCAAGTTCTGTTTGGCTTCCCGCTCCTGTGCTGCTGCCTTCAGGCAGTAAACTAGTACAATTATAAGGCTCACTTTGTCCCTGTAGTGAACTCTTCAATTTTATGTTGCCTTGACATCCATTTTGAATACAAGTTTAAATTTCTCATACCAGAAATAGAGCTTGGTCACTCTTGACACAGTTTTCAATTCTATACCATGCCCAAATAGCTCAAGATGGCGGCCAGAGATTAGAACTCAGAGGCATCTCTCCTACCTGGCAGACTGAGTTCCCTGCTTTCGCACCACTTCCTTTAAATGGACCATTCAGGAATTTACCCACAAACTTAAAGTGACCCATGCCCTATTCTCTGTCACATGCTCTTCTCTCTCTCTCTGTCTGACTTTTCATTCCTGCTTCTCATGACCCAGGGACTGACGGACTGCCCTCCTGACTCACTGTGCCCTCCTTGCCCAGGATCTATAAGTAAAAAATCTTTGAACTTGTTTCCTATTGTGGTGGTATGCAAAATTTGCACCTTCCATCTGAAGAACTAGGGGCTATTCCATGCCAGGTTTTCCCTGGGATGCTGGAGGGAACATAAGGTAAGGTTCCTAGTGCCAGTGTACTGGTCAGGAGAAATAAAGTGGACACAAGTCAGAGAAGAGATAAAGGGCATCTGCTAGTATAAACAAGTTTCCTGTGTAAAGGACCCCCTGGTCTCAGATTACTAGGCATTAGGCCATCTGCCAGGTAAAAGAAATATTCTGTGAAGGCACACTGTAAACACCCATATCCAGTTCTCCTTCATTTCCTGCTAGGGTAGGGTTACTAGTCACCCTGGTACTGGAACACCAATTTAGCTGGGGGCTCCCCAAATGGTTCACTTTTTTTTTTGTTTTGTTTTGTTTGAGATGAAGTATCTCTCTGTTGCCCAGGCTGGAGTGCAGTGGCACAATCTCAGTTCACTGCAACCTCCACCCCCTGGGTTCAAGTGATTCTTGTAGTTGTAACTACAGGTGCACACCATCATGTCTGGCTAATTTTTGTATTTTTAGTAGAGGAGGTTTCACCACGTTGGCCAGGCTGGTCTCGAACTCCTGACCTCAAGTGATCTGCCCACCTCGGCCTCCCAAAGTGCTGGGATTACAGGTGTGAGCCACTGCACCCGGCCCCCAGAAGGTTCACTTTTCTAAGCAATCAGTCATATGCTGCCTTTTTCCCTAGTGTCATCCTGTGCTATCATCAATCTCTGATAGGATGCACTGAGAAGGGCACTTCACCACTGATGTATTTTTTCCAAAAACTCAGAATGCAAACATAATAATGGAAAAAACATCAGACAAACACAGATTGGGGACATTCTGCAGGATACCTGGCTAGTGCTCATCAAGATTGTCAAAGTCATGTTAAAAACAACAACAACAACAACAAAACAAGGAAAATCAGAAAAACTGTCAAAAACCAGAGGAAACTGGAGAGTCATGACAACAAAATGCAATGTAGTACTCTGTACTGAATCTTGAGACACAAAGAGTATATTAATGGAAAAATTGGACAAATTCAGTCTGGATTTAGGTAATAGTAACGTACTAATGTTGGTTTCTTAGTTTTGGCAAATGTACTATGGTAATGTAAGATGTTAACAATGGAAGAAAGTGGATGAGGGGTATATAGGAACTCTCTAATATCTTTACAAGTGTTCTGTAAATCTACAGTTATTCCAAAATTAAAAGGTTATTTTAAAAAACTAATCTACTTATAAAAAAGCACAAAGCCGGCCGGGCGCAGTGGCTCACACCTGTAATCCGAGCACTTTGGGAGGCCGAGGCTGGTGGATCACAAGGTCAGGAGATCGAGACCATCCTGGCTAACATGGTGAAACCCCGTCTCTACTAAAAATACAAAAAATTAGCTGGGGGCGGTGGCAGGCGCCTGTAGTCCCAGCTACTCGGGAGGCTGAGGCAGGAGAATGGCGCGAACCCGGGAGGCGGAGGTTGCAGTGAGCCGAGATTGCGCCACTGCACTCCAGCCTGGGCGACAGAGCGAGACTCCGTCTCAAAAACAAACAAACAAACAAACAAACAAAACACCAAGTCAACATTTACAGATAAATGATGCCAAATTTTTAGGTCAATCTCATTATGAATAGATGTACAAAATTCCTAAATAAGTTATAGCAAATTCTGTGTAGTATAACCCAGGAGGAATTATATGGGAATACAAAGATGGTTCAACATTAGAAAATCTATTCATGTAATTCATTATATAAACAAATTATAAGAGACAAATTGTGTAATTTCCTCCACAGGGGTCAGCATTTGATAAAAATTAACCCCATTCTTTTTCATTTTGTTTTGTTTTTGAGACGGAGTCTTGCTCTGTCATCCAGACTGGAGTGCACTGGCCTGACCTCGGCTCACTGCAACCTCTGCCTTCTGGGTTCAAGCGATTCTCCTGCCTCAGCCTCCCGAGTAGCTGGGACTACAGGTGCCTGCCACCATGCCTGGCTAATTTTTTGTATTTTTAGTAGAGATGTGGTTTCACCGTGTTAGCCGGGATGGTCTCGATCTCCTGATGTCGTGATCCCCCTGTCCCAGCTTCCCAAAGTTTAGGGATTACAGGCGTGAGCCACCGCGCCCAGCCCAATCAACCTTATTCTTGATTTTCAAATAAATCTTCTAACAAACTAGGAATAGGATTAAAAAAGTGCTTTCCTACCTCATGCATTGCACTTAAAATTGAGACACTAATAGAATATTCATCAGAATCTGTAACAAGAATGCCTTTTCTTACTGCTGCTGTCCAATACTGCTTAATAGTTTAGCCAAGATTAGAAAAAGAAACAACAGGTAGAAATATTAGAAGTCAGGAAACAAAACTGTGCTTAATGGATGACATGATCACTTATCTTTAAAAAAATTCAAGAGAACTGAAAAATTAAGAATAACAGAGTTTAGCAAAGTGAACCAATATAAAATCAACATACAAATATATACACGGTATTATATAACACTATGTCCAAATATTGCCTGAAAAATATAATCTTAAAAAGATCCCATTCACGTTTACATCAGAAACTATCCAATACTAAAGAATCAATCTAATAAGAAATGAACAGGAGCTATGAAATATTAATAAAGAAAATAGAGGTTACTGAATTTTCCTGGATGCAAATTTTGTAAATATATCAAACTATACCAATCTATAATTCAATGCAACCCCAATTAAAATCTCAGAGTTATAGAACTTGCCAAGATGATTCTAATACTTCATCAATAAGAATTTATAAGAATTACCAAGAAAATGATGAAAAAGCAGATATGTGTGTTCCCTGCCAATATTAAATGAATTTAAAGTTATAGTAAGTAATGTTGTATAGTAATGTCATAGAAATAGGCAAAATTAATGGAACAGAATACTGAAACAGCTCATGTACATAAGGAAATTAGCATATAATAATTAGCATGTTGTATTAGTCCATTTGCACACAACTATAAAGAACTACCTGAAACTGGGTAATTTATGAAGAAAAGAGGTTTAATTGACTCACAGTTCCACAGACTTAACAGGAAGCATGACTGGGGGGGCCTCAGGAAACTTCGAATCATGGTGGGAGGTGAAGGGGAAGCAAGGCCTTCTTCACATGGTGGCAGGAGAGAGAGCAAGCAAAGGGGGAAGTGTCACACACTTTCAAACAACCAGATCTTGTGAGAACTCACTCACTGTCACCAGAACAAGGGGGAAGTCCACCGCCATGATTCAGTCACCTCCCACCAAGCCCCTCCCCCGACGTGGGGATTACAATTCAAGATGAGATTTGGGTGGGACACAAAATCAAACCACATCACATGTTAAATTAGCATAGGATAAATGTTGAATTTCAAAGCAGCAGGAAAAGATGAGCTATATAGTCAAGACTCATTTGCAAATTATAGAAACTAACATAAGTTTAAGAATAAATGTATCTGGGCTGACACAAATAGATTTATTATCTTGCTCCAAAGAATAAAAGCCTTTTATGTAAACTGAGAGAACTATAGGACAATATGACATAGTCAAAGGGTGCCAAAGGCAGGAATTTTCTAATTTTATAGGTACAAGAAACTGTTTAAAGTACTAAATGCAGTTAATTATTTAAATTAGTTGACTTAAAAATTATATAAATGAAGATGTCAAAGTTCAAACTTGAAGTAATTACAGAAAGACAGACTGCATTTCCTACAATTGTGGTTTTTTTCCATTTTATTTTTTATTGTGGTAAAAAGCACATAACATTAATTTTACAATGTTAACCATTTTTTAAATGTACAGTTCAATAGTGTTAAGTATATTCACATTGTTGTGCAACAGATCTCAAAAATTTGTTCATCTGGCAAAACTGAAACCCAGCTGGGTGTGGCGGCCCATGCCTATAATCCTAGCACTTTGGGAGGCCGAGGTGGAAGGATGGCTTGAGCCTCAGAGTTTGAGGCTGCAGTGAGCCATGATCGCACTCATAATCTCCACTCCAGTGGCATTGTGAAGTATTTGTCCTTTCGTGATGGGCTCATTTCACTTAGCATAATTCCTCAAAGTTCATCCATGCTCTAGCATGTGACGAGATTTCTTTTTTTTTTTTAAGGTTGAATAACATTCCATTGTATTTATATACCACAGTTTCCTTATCTGTTCATCTAAGGATATCTGTGATGTTTCTACCTCTTGGGTATTGTGAATAATGTTGCAGTAAACATGGGTGTGCGAAATTTCTTCAAGGTCCTGTTTTGAATTCTTTTAGATATATACCCAGAAATAGGTATGTATCTATGTATCAGAAATAGGATCACATGATAATTCTATTTTTAATATTTTGAGGCACCTCCATGTTGTTTTCCATAGTGGCTGCATCATTTTACATTTCCACCAACAGTGCACAAGGGTTCCAATTTCTCCACATCCTCACCAACACGTTATTTTCTTTTCTTTTGATAGAGGCCATCCCAGTGGGTGGGAGGTGATAATTCACTGTGGTTTTGATTGGCATTTGTCTTATGATTTGTAATGTTGAGCATCTTTTCATATGCTTATTGGCCATTTGTATAGCTTCTTTGGAGAACTCTCCATTTTTTAACTGTGTTGTTTTTTGTTGGTGTTGAGTTGTAGAAGTTCCTTATATATTCTGGATATTAACCCCTTATCAGATATATGATTTGCAAATGTTCGCTACCATTCCATGGATTACCTTTTTACTCTATTGTTTCCTTGATGCAAGAAGTTTTTAAGTTTGATGTAGTCCCACTTGTCTATTTTTACATTCAGTTTTAAATGCTCTGAAACTTAGACCCCTCAAACCACTTCTGGATAAAGACTTTACCAGTTTTCTCATGAAAAGAGATAAGATATCTATACTAAAACCATGTTCTATTTGTCACTTAAGTGGAAACTCCAAATAGTGTTATTTTACATAGTAAATTATGTGATTAAAAACAATTATTTACTTTTCATTATTTTCATGCTTAGAAATTTTACTATCTTATTTTTCTTCTCAAAATATTTGTTAATTTTTAAATGAATCTATTTGTCATTCATTCACTTATTAAGTAATTATTTAACAAAAATATGGAGCAGCTATTATAAACCAGGCACTCTCCCAAGTTTTAGATCACAACTGTTCTCTCCTTCCATTCCTTACTCCCCAAATGGGGTAACCTTTAAGTACAATCAACCCTAATATATAATATATACATTTAATTTTAAAGATATCGCTGCATTTTATGAAGTTTGCCTTAGAAATAATATACTTTATTTTAAATAGGAAATACAGTGGCTCATTTAACTAGGAATTCTAAGGGATGGGCATGGCTGGCTCCAGGGACTTAATGTGATCAGGACACTCTCTCTCCATGTTGGCTTTTACAGGCATTCTCTCTTCATCTGGTAGGAAATTACCACTGCTAGCTCTTGGTTTAAAAGAATAAGGGGTCGGGGATGTGGCTCACACCTGTAATCATTTGGGAGGCCAAGGTGGGCTGATCACCTGAGGTCAGGAGTTCAAGACCAGCCTGGCCAACATGGTGTAACCCTGTCTCTACTAAAAATACAACAATTAGCCAGGTGTGGTGGTGTGCGCCTATAGTCCCAGCTACTCGGGAGGCTGAGGCACGAGAATTGCCTGAACCTGGGAGGAGGAGGTTGCAGTGAGCCAAGGTTGCACCACTGCACTCCAGCCTAGGTGACAAAGCAAGACACTGTCTCAATAAATAAATAAATAAAAATAAAAGAATAAGAACACCCTGTCTTAATATTTTTAATTAAATTATATGCTCATCCTTGTAGCCTCTGAGGCAGTGTCAAGACTGCTAACCACACTAGGGATTGGGGCTGGGACAGGGGTGAAACCCTCAGGAAGGGATGCTGACAGACAAGAATAAGTTGACTATAGGGAAAAGGTAATAAATTGCATTGAGACAATTGCCTATCCATTTCAGCAAAGATATTGGTAAGTTCTTACGTCATATTAAAAAAAATCATAGATAGATTAAATAGTTAAACATAAAAACCATATGCTATAAAAGTACTAGAAAAACATATAGGAGAATACTGACATAACCTAAGGACCTTCTAAACAAGATATAAACCAACAGCCAAAAAGGAAAAGGTGTTGAATTTGACCACATAGATGTTTAAAAATACCTTTGACCTCAAAGAAGTTAAAAAACATAAATAGCAAACAGCATAGATAATGTATTGTTATCCAAAACATATAAAGCATTTTCACATGTAAGTAAGCAAACACAACCCGACTTGTAAATATGGGCAGAGATTATAAACAAATAACAGAACTACAAATAGATAATAAACACATGAAAATTGTTCACTCATTAATAATCAGGAAAATGCAAATTAAAGTATCAGTGGACTATTATTTTGTGCATCAAATTCTTAAAAACGAAAATGTGAGTGTGGGATGAGTACTTTCTAGCGTTTTGATGCAAATGCAAATTAGCATATCTATTTTAAAGCATAATCTGGCAGTATCAAAATAAATACGCTTGTACCCTCTGATCCAACGATTCTACTTTTCGTACTTATCCTATACTTACACAGGTGAGTAAAGTTAATACTTACCGTTTAGCAAGTGTCTATTATGTTCCAAGCCCTTTAAAATTCTTTGAAAGAGGTGATAGGTAGTATACTCATTTTGCAGATGAGAAAACTGAAACTCAGATGTAAACTGCCCAAAGTTATAGGACCATGGAAGAATCTGGATTTAAACCTAAATATTTCTGCCTGTAAAATCCAAGGTCTTTTTACTGTATCATACGAGTTCTCTTACTACCACCAAACGCTACCTTTCATTGCTAAGTAAAATTAATTTCCCCATCTCTCCTCACCTTTTTTTCATCCTGACTTTTGGGGAAATGATTTAGGGTCCAGTCACTGTCAGGGTTTAAGTAAAAGCTAATTAAGCTATATCTTGAAAGGCTTAATTTATGAACGGGCTCTAAAAATGTGAAGGAACTATTGAAAGACTGTCACCTGAATCAGCTATGAGTTGAAAGAGATGTTATCAGTCCTTTCCAATTCAGATTTAGTACTCCAGAAGTTTGCCTCAAAATACTGCATTTCTATAACACACTGTCTACCTTGGCTCATTAAAAAAAAAAAAAAAAAAAAAAAAAAAACTCTTCTTTTAACTTCAAACAACTCCGAAGATTGTTTTCCCACAGAATTCTAAAGATTTTGTGACTTGTTTGTGAAGCAATTAACTTGGACTTTCAGAAATTTGTTCTAGAACTCTGAGATGTCTTCAGTTTACAAGTCTGTTGCCCTAGGTGATAGATTCAATCTTTTAAGTCTGTTGATTGTATATACTGGAATATATGTTTAGTGGGTTACAAACCCAATTTATCTTTTTCAATTTAATTTTGTTTTATATGTTGGGTATGGCTCTGACTACCACTCCTAAGAAAAACATCTTAGGTAAGTTTTCTTTTTCGTTAAAATATTTGACAATGATCTTTCTTTTTAAAAGTTAAGCTTTTTATTTTGAAATAAATGTAAATTAATGTGCAGTTGTAAGAAATAACAGAGAGAGCTCATGTTCTCTTCCTTATTCAGCTTTCTTCAATAGTAACATCTTTCAAAACTGTAGTACAATTTCACAACCAGGATATTGACATTATACAGTTAAGACCTAGACATTTCCACAAGGACCTCTAATATCCTTTTATAATCTCACCATTTCCTTCCTGCCCCCATCCCCTATTAATGTCTGGTAACCACTAATCTGTTCATTTTTTATAATTTTGTCATTTCAAGAATGTTATATAAATGGAATCATACAGTGTGTAACATTTTGGGATTGTCTTTTTTTTACTCAGCATAAATCTCTAAAAATTCATCCAGGTTGTTGTATATATAAATAGTTTATTCCTTTTTATTGCTGAGTATTATTCCATTGTATGGATGTACCAAAGTTTATTCACCAGTTAAAGGACATCTGGGTTGTGTTCCAGTTTGGAGCTATTATGAATAAGGCTGCTATGAACATTGTATATAGGTATTTTTATGAACATGTAAGTCTTAATTTCCCTGGAATAAATGCTCAAGAGTGCAATTGGTGGGTCATAGGGTAGTTGCATGTATAGTTTTTTTAAAGAAACTGAATAAAAGGCAAGATGGTTTACTAGGAGAACACATGGACACAGGAAGGGGAACATCACACTCTGGGGACTGTTGTGGGGTGGGGGGAGGAGGGAGGGATAGCTTTAGGAGATATACCTAAAGCTAAATGATGATTTAATGGGTGCAGCACACCAGCATGGCACATGTATACATATGTAACTAACCTGCACATTGTGCACATGTACCCTAAAACTTAAAGTATAATAATAATAAAATAAAAAAAAAGAAAAATAAAAAAATAAAAAAAAGAAACTATCAACAGAGTAAACAGACAACCTACGGAATGGGAGAAAATATTCACAAACTACGAGTCTGACAAAGGACTAATATCCACAACCTATAAGGAATGTAAACAATTGAACAAACAAAAAACAATCTCATAAAAAGTGAGGAAAAGACATGAATAGACACTTCTCAAAAGAAGACATACAAGCAGCAAACATATTTAAAAATGCTCAGCATCACTAATCATCAGAGAAATGCAAATCAAAGCCACAATGAGACACCATCTTACACCAGTCAGAATGGCTATTATTAAAATGTCAGAAAACAATAGATGTTGGCAAGGCTGCAGAGAAAAGAGAATGCTTACACACTATTAGTGGGAATGTAAATTAGTTCAGCCGCTGTGGAAAGCACTTTAGGAATTTCTCAAAGAACTGAAAATAGAACTACAATTTCAGCCAGCAGTCCCATTACCAGTTATATATCCAAAGAAAAATAAATTGTTCTACCAAAAAGACATATGCATTTGTATGTTCATTGCAGCACCATTCACAATAGCAAAGACATGGAGTCAACCTAGGTGCCCATCAACAATGGACTGGATAAAGAAAATGTGGTACATACACACTATGGAATACTATGTAGCCGTAACAAAATGAAATCATGTCCTTTGCAGCAACATGGATGCAGCTGGAGGCCAAAATATACAAAATTGTAGGCTATAAAACAGTTTCAGTTTTAAAGGATTCAAATCATAGATATGTTTTCTGACCAAGTAGAATTAAATTACAGTCATTTCTAGAAAATCTTCAAATGTTAGGAAACTAAAGACATTTCTGAGTAACCGATCCATCAAAGAACAAATCGAAAGATAAATAAGAATGTGTTTTGAACTGAATGAAAATAAAAACATAAGTCAATATTTATGGGATAAATTTAAAGCAGTACTTAGAAATTTATAATAATATATGTAATAAAAAAGAAATATCTCAAATTGTTTACCTCAGGCTCCACCTTAAGAAAATAGCAAAAGAAGAACAAATTATTCATAAATTCTTCTAGAATACTGAAGGGGGGAGAATATTTCCCAACTCATTCTACAATACCAACTTTACCAAAACTAGTAACAACATTACAAGAAAGCTACAGACCTATATTTCTCATGACTATGTGTGAAAAACTTCTCATAAAATTTAGCAAATGAACCCAACAATATATGAAAAGGATAAATACATTATAACCAAGTAGGGTTGATCCTAGGAACGTAAAGTTGGTTTAACAATAAAAATATCTGTGCATTAATATTTTATTATACTAATATACTAAAAAACATATGATCATATCAGTAATTTCAGAAACAGCATCTGACAAAATCCAGCACCTATTATTCATCAAATCTCTCAGCAAACTAGGACTAGAAGAGACTTTCTTAAACCTAATGAAGAATGTCTATGAAAACCCTATAACTAACATCAAACATAATGGTGTAGTGATGGAAACATTCTAGTTCTTGATAATGGGTGACGATTACACAAAAATACACATTTGTCAAAACTCATTGAACTGTCCACATAAAATTGGGTATAAGTTTCTCTAGGAAGAGTATTGGCCAGAATTCTGCCCACTAAGTGAAATAATGAAATCAATTTTTGGATCTGCATAGCTGGCCCTTGGGCTAAACAGCCATAGTGGCCCAGCTGATACCATCAGGTTTCATCTGCTGAACCATCTGTGAACCTGGTCCAGATATTTAGGGGAAACTGTGAATCCAGGGCCCCAACTGAACCAGTGGCTTTGTTTTTGGTGGCAGAATAAAGAAAAATGTATTGCCTAAATTAATGGCTGCCAATTTTTTTTGCAAAACCAAAATGATGCTAGGACCAGGTCAGATGCACCCCTAAACACACTATTACCATTTGGCTAGCAAGGCCTGTTGGTTTAGGCCCCTTTCAAAGCATGCTAAATAAAGGACTAAGTAGAATCCCAAAGTGAAGTACATATGGTCTTTCACACTCAAAAAAATTAAAAACTAGTAGGGGATCAAAGAGATAGTTTTTTCTTTGATTGCCAAAGGAATTGAGTGTTGTGAATCTGCCCATAGTTTTTTTTTTTTTTTTTTTTTTTTTTTTTTTTTTTTTTTTTTTTTTTTTTGAGACAGAGTCTTGCTCTGTTGCCCAGGCTGGAGCACAGTGGTGGAATCTCGGCTCACTGCAGCCTCAGTCTCCCAGGTTCAAGCCATTCTCCTGCCTCAGCCTCCTGAGTAGCTGGGACCACAGGTGTGTACCACCACGCCTGGCTAATTTTTGTATTTTTAGTAGAGACACAGTTTCCCCATGTTGGCCAGGCTGGTCTCGAACTCCTGACCTGGCAAGCAGGTCCTTGAATTTGTCAGGGTTTGTCAGCCACTCCTGTTGGTAGAGGTGTAATAACACCATAGTCAGGGCCACTGAAATTGAGGATTTTGACTTGCCAACCAACAGGGCATCACCTGTATCTTTGAGCAAAACTTACTGTCTGGGAGAAAGGTAACATGATCTTACACATAGGGCACTCAGCCAATTCAATATATAGTCATGTGCCATATAAAGACCTTTTGGTCAACAACAGACTACATGATATTGTTTGTCTCTATGTCCCCACCCAAATCTCATATCAAATTGTAATAACAGAGGGCAGAGGCACTCACTTAAATCCGGATCCACCCACCTGTGGCAAATGGCAAGGACTCCTCTACATGTGGCAGTGCCCTGAATGGGAAAATTTCCCTTGACACTTTATGAGCATTCACAGTACAAGTGTGTAACACATCGATTTCATTACACACCCTTAACAATAGATGCTATAACAGCAGTATTCATGTGCCAATTAACAATGTGAATACACTGAGAAACGTGTTATCAGATGATTTTGTCATTGTGTAAGCATCATAGTATGTACTTATATAAACCTAGATGGTGTGGCCTACTACACACCTATGCTATAGGATCTAGCCTATTGCTACTAGGCTACAAACCTGTACATCATGTTACTGGACTAAATACTGTAGACAGTTGAAGCACAATGGTAAATATTTGTGTATCTAAACACAGAAAAGGTACAGTAAAATATGATATTATGGTCTTATGGTACTGCCGTCACATATTCAGTGTATTAGTTTGTTTTCACACTGCTCTAAAGAACTGAGACTGGGTAATTTACAAGGAAAAAAGGTTTAATTGACTCACAGTTCTGCATGGTTGAGGAGGCCTCAGGAAACTTACAGTCAAGGTGGAGGGGAAAAAGAGAAGCAAGCACCTTCTTTACAAGGCAGCAGGAGAGAGTGGGTGAGTGAAGGGGAAGTGCCACACTTTTAAACCAGCTGGTCTCACTCACTATCAGGAGAACAGCACGGGGGAAATCGCTCCCATAATCCAATTGCCTCCCACAAGGCCCCTCCCTTGACATATGGGGATTATAATTCGAGATGAGATTTGGGTGGGGGCACAGAACCAGACCATATCATGTGGTCTGTTGACCAAAATGTCATTATGTGGCACATGACTATATATTGAATTGGCAGAGAGCCCTATGCATAAGATCACTTTAACTTTCTCCCCACAGTAAGTTTTGCTTAAACCATATTAATTGATTTCAGGTTTTTGTGGAGATTTTTTTTCCCCCCTACCAGAACACAGACTCACCTGCGTATGGGGGTGGGCGGGGAAGGGGTGGGGCACAGATGCTCCAACAGCTGTCAGGAGTTTAACCTTATTTTCAGACTAGGTGCGTAGGGAGAGCAAGGGAGCAAGAGGGCCTCACCTACGGGATAAAGCTGGAGTAATAGGAAGGCTTTTTTTTTTTTTTTTCTATTTCACCTCATGTCAGGATTGGTACTACCTCCTCCCGTGTACCTCCCTGCCTCCGGAAAGCTCCCAGACACAGGGAATTTTTTCTTTCTGGCACATGCTGCTATAGCTCTACCTGGGAGCCTTTGGTGCCTATGTCTAACAGAACCATAAAACTTTGTGTCCTTCCCCTGCCTGAAGTTCCCCAATGTACTGGGCCTTTTCCTTAAAGCAGCTGAGGTCATCCCCTTCTTCCCCACCTCCCCACCACTAAGGGAGAGTGAGCAACAAACAAAGCACCGTTTGGGTGGTTTCGATCCTGCCTGTCACAACCCAGCCTCTGAACAGTCATTAACAGGCAAGACAAGGGGAAGACCGTTATTAGCCATTTCCCCTCCCCAACCCCTGCCTCATACCACTTGGATGAGAGCATTTGCCACCGAAATCCAAGGAATCTTCTCATATTCCCTAACCCAGCCTGCAGGGTTTTCTTTTCCTTCCTCTTCCAGAAAGCCATGTCTCTGTCAGCATCCCATTCTTATTGTCAAAATTGGCAGAAACAGTGCAAATTCTAGGGTTTTACCCTACTTACAAGCTGTCAAGTTATCCTGCCACAGTTTTATAGATGCTGCCAGAAGACTTCTAAGTCAGAAAGAGAGGACTATATTATTTATAGTAAAGCCCTATTGAACCAGCAATTTTCTTCAGAGGGCAGAGTGGGGGCCAAGGTTTCCCCCAAAGGGGTAACTGCCACTTCTTACTGTAAAGATGAAATACTGCTGGGGCCAGGATGTCCGTGTTCTTGAATCTACCATTTCCATTTTACAAGTGAGGCTTGTTGGGCCCTTTCTACCTTGTTAGTAGCTGAGTCCAACTTGACCCACCTCAAGATGGGAAAAAGTCAAAGAGTCACAAGGTCTCCTCAGCTAGAGTGTTCACTTTTGAGAAGAGCTCAGTACCTCTTGCTACTAGTTACTCAAGGTAATAGCTACTTTTCAAAAAGAGTGTACCTGATAGCTATGTCAGAGGGAAACAAGTCCAAAACCCCAAAGGGTGTCTTCAGGCAGAGGCTCTAATCAGTACAGATTCATAGCTCAAAAAAGTCATTAGGATTGCAGAGCCCCTGACATAAGCTTGCTGGACAGCTTCTAACTCAGCCTGTTGGACTGGGCCCTATTAAAAGGATGCCAGTCTGTAGGTTAGCCAAGATTAAGGCCATAGTGAGGCACATGCCACATCCTGTGCCCAGAGCCCGTCAAGGTGCTGGGCCTCATTTTATGGTGGTTGGGGTGGAGGTAGGGGGACTGCAAAAAGGCAATAGTTTTTCTTTGACTGCCAAAAGGACTGCCCATTATGAATCTGCCCAGATAGACCCAATAAACTTTATCTGGTAAGCAGTCCACCTAATTTTGTCAGGGCTTATGAGCCACTGCTGCTAGTGGAAACACGGTAACTACCACATTCATGACTATTGAGACTAAGGCTTTTGACTTGCTAACCAATAGGACATCATCTATACAGTGAAACTTGTGGATATCAGAGGGTACAAGCATTCAGGCTAAATCCCAACCCACCCACTGGTGGAAAATGGTAGATGAGTAGGTATCCTTAAGGGAGTACTACAAATGTTTACAAACTGATCTTAGTCCTCAGGTGTCAGTGGTGTACGAAAGGTGTGTTGACAATGTCCAAGACAGAGTACCAAGAGTCAGCTGTCTGTAGAATGGATTCAGTAAGTCGCAATGTTTGGAACAGCTAAGGTATGGAGGCAACAAATGAATTCAGTTGGTAATAATGCACTGTAAGTCTCCAGCTCCATTAGCAAATTTTACTGGCCATACAGGAATGTTGTATTTAGATAATGCATTTCTTAATTTTTCTGCTGCCTTTAGGTCCTTAATGAAGGCCATGGTTTCCCTTTGTCCTCCTAGGATTCTGCAAATTTTTTTATTGAGCCATCTGGAAGGGGACATGGAGACAGGCAAGTAGTAATTTGTATGTCACACTAGCACTTCTTTACACATGACTCTTCCAATCATTCTGATGTTTATGTAATGGAGATGATCCAGCATATAACACAATAACTCCTCATATACATTCAGATGTAGGAACAACCACAGTTGTTGTTAGGTCAGTTAAATTGGCCTAAAGAGCCTCACCTGGAAGGTTTAGTTCCCTTCTCCATTGTGAACTATGCCCAAATCCCATAAGCTGAATCTAGGTGACTTTTCCTTACTTCCTGGGGTAGGAAGAAACTTTGCCCACCACCAGCAAAGCCGCACCACCACTGCCATAAACTCTCCCAACCTAGGCCACTGAGATGCAAATGACACAAGCACAGATTACAGCTGAAGAAACTACATGGTGACTATACTACTGTGTCCATCCAGAATCAAATCCAGTGTACCCTGCTGAACCAACACCCAAGACCCATCTAAACAAATAAGTCTTTCCCTACAAAACCTTCCCCAAAAGACGTGACTATTACACCAGATATGTGAAATCTACATAGAGACATATCAAACATGAAAAAGCAAGGAAACATGACACAAAGGAACACGATAATTATCTAGTAACAGACCCCTAGCATAAGGAAATATATAAAATTCCAGAAAAATATTCAAAATAATAATCTTAAGGAAACACTGAGATACAAGAGAATACAGATTGAGGATTCAATGAAATCAGGGGAAAAATCATGATTTGAATGAGTACTTCAACAAAGAGATAGATGTCATTAAAAAAAGAACCACAGGAATGCTATGAGGAATTAAATGAATGAAATAAAAAATACAATCAAGAGCTTTAACATCAGACTAGACCAAGCAGAATAAAAAATTTCTGAATTTGAAGACAGGTCCTTTGAAATAACACAGGCAGACAAAAAACGTCTTCACCTATCAAGTATAACCTTGAATATAAATGAATTAAATGCCGATTTTAAAAATACACACTGGATGAATGGATAAACATAACAAGATGCAAATATATGTTGCCTAAAATAGAATCACTTCACTGTCAAACACTTGAAAGCAAAGAGAGAGAAAAAGATATTCCACACAAACAGAAACGAAAAGCAAGCAGGGATAGCTATACCTATATCAGACAAAACAGACTTCAAGTAAAAAGCTGTCAAAAGAAACAATGAAGAACATTATATAATAATAACAAAAGGATCAAGTCAGCAAGAAAATAACAATTGTAAATGTATATGCACCCAATACCACAGCACCCAGATATATAAAGCAAATATTATTAGATCTAAAGAGAGGGATAGGCTCCAATACGATAATAGATGGAGACTTCAACAATCCACTATTAGCATTGGAGACATCCCTAGAAAGAAAATCAAAAAGAAACATTGGATTTAAACTACATCATAGACCAAAGGGACTTAACAGACATTTACAGTACATTTCACCTAACAGCTGCAGAAAATACATTCTTTTCTTCAGAGCACAGAACATTCTTCAGGAATGACCATATGTTAGGACACAAAACAAGTCTCAAAAAATTTTCAAATTTGAAATCTTATCTAGTCTCTTATCTGACCACAATGGAATAAATGTAGAAATCAGTAAGATAAACATTTAAAATAATACAAATACATGGAAATTAAACAACATATTCCTGAATAACCACTGCGTGAAGAAAGAAATTAAGGATTAAAGTTCATTGAGGGTCAGGTGCGGTAGCTCATGCCTGTAATCCCAGCACTTTGGGAGGCTGAGGCGGGTGGATCATTTGAGGTCAGCAGTTTGAGACTAGCCTGGCCAACATGGTGAAACCCCATCTCTACTAAACATACAAAAATTATCTGGGCAGTAGTGGAGCATGCCTGTAATCCAAGCTACTAGGGAGGCTGAGGCAAGAGAATCGCTTGAGTCTGGGAGGTGAAGGTCGTGGTGAGTCAAGATCGTGCCACTGCACTCCAGTCTGGGCAACAGAGATCCTGTCTCAGAAAAAAAAAAAAGAAACAGAAGAAGAGACATCAAAATGGATACCACAGAAATAAAAAAAAAATCATTAGAGACTACCATGAACAAGAATATACCAATAAATTTGAAAACCTAGAGGAAATGGATATATTCCTGGAAACATACAACCTACCAAGATTGAACCAAGAAGAAATAGAAAGTCTGAACAGACCAATAAGAAGTAATGAGACTGAATTAGTAATAAAACATCTCCTAACAAAGAAAAGTCCAGGACCAAATTGCTTAATCTGAATTCTACCAAAGTTTAAAGAAGAATTAATACCAATTCTTCTCAAACTATTCCAAAAAATTGAAGCAGATAAAACTCTTTGTATTAGTTTGTTCTCACACTGTTATAAAAAACTACCTGAGACTGGGTAATTTATGAAGAAAAGAGGTTTAATTGACTCACAGTTCCACAGGCTTAACAGGAAGCATGGCTGGGAGGCCTCAGGAAACTTACAATCATGGCAAAAGGTGAGGAAAAGCAAGCACCTTCTTCACATGGTGGCAGGAGAGAGAGACAGACAGAGAGAGAGAGAGAGAGAGAAAGAGACACACAGAGAGAGGTGCCCACACTTTTAAACCATCAGATCTCCTGATAACTCACTCACTATCATGAGAACAGCAAGAGAGAAATCCTCCCCCATGATGCAATCATCTCCCACAAGTCCCCTTATCCAATTTGACATTACATTTGGGTGGGGATGCAAATCCAAACCATATCACTCTTCCTAACTCATTGTATGAGACCAGCATCACCCTGATACCAAAAGCAGACAATGACACAACAAAAAAAGAAAGAAAACTACAGGCCAATATCCCTGATTAATGTAGATGCAAAAGTCCTAAACAAAATGCTAACAAATCAAATCCATTAATACAACATGATCAAGTGGGATTTATCCCAGGAACTCAAGGATGGTTCAGCATGTGCAAATCACTAAACATGATACATCATATAAACAGAAAGAACGAAAAAAACCATATGATTATCTCAATAGATTAGAAAAAGGATTTGATAAAATTCAACATCCCTTTATGATAAAAACTCTTAATTAGGTATAAAAGGAAAGTACCTCAATACTCAATTCAATGTATTTAATACACTTCAGTATACAATAAAGGCCATACATGACAAACCCACAGCTAACATCATACTGAATGGGGGAAAAACTTTCAACTAAGAACTGGAACAAGACACCACCACCCACTCTAACCACTTTTATTCAACATAGTACTGGAAGTTCTAGCCAGAGTAATTAGCCAAGAGAAAGAAATTAAGGACATCCAAATTGGAAAGGAGGACGTCAAATTATCCCTGTTTGCAGAGACATGATCTTATACATAGAAAAATGTAAAGACTCTACCAAAAACTCTTATAACTGATCAATGAATTCAGTAAAAATGAAGGATACAATCAACATACAAAAATCCAGGAAGAGGAGCCAGGATGGCCAACTAGACACAGCCAGGAAGAGCTTCCCTCACCAAGATAAGATCATCAAGAAGACCAGCACACTCCAAGCAGATCTTCGGAAGGAAGGCATTGAGAGTGGATGGAGGGAGGATGCAGACTCTGGTTGAAGTGGGAGGAAGCTGGGAACCCTGCATGGGGTTGCCAAGCACAAGGACTCATTCCTGGCCCCAAGCAGCTTCTAAGGAAAGGGTAGGTTAAATAGGTATAGAGTGGCCCACTCTCAACATGGATCTCCAGAATCCTAGCTGCAGGTGACCCCATGACCCCCACAGACATTTGAGCTGGCAGGGAGAGCTGCTTGGAGAGTTGGCAGGGACAGGGCTCCAACCTGTGTGGAGCCCAGAGGGTTTAGGTGCAGGAAAACTGCAGTGGACCATGGCCAGAGATGGCCATTCTGCAAGGCCTGCCATATTCCTCTAGGTGATTTTGGCTTTTGTTGACTGTTGGACCTGGATAGAACAGGGGTATCTTGCCTGTGAGACAGGGCCAGTTTGGTCTGAGTGCTTCCATCCTCCCATCTGCTGGCCACTCCCAGCTTCCCTACTTGGCCACTCCGACTTGCAGTGCAGCCTCAGATGCCCAACCGGGGTGTTTCCCAGAAGCCACTGCCATAGCTCTTTGGCTGGCAGATCCTGCCTAACCATCAGAGAGCTTTTGTAGATGGGCCCCTGCCAGCATGCATCCACCTGCAGCCTCCCCCCACCACTTTGCCAGCACACGTGTGTGTGGACCTCACTGCCCTGCCATACCAGTGCATGCACGTGGACCTTGCCGCTGCCATCATGCTGACCCTGCTGGTGTGCATGTGTGTGCAGACCCCACTGACGTCACTCCAACAAAGCACTTCTGCCAGCAGTCCCCATTGGAGTATTGTTTCCCAAGGACCAGGAACACCTCAGGCCCTCCAGCAGATGCTTAACCTTGAGGGGCCAGAGAACAAAGCAGTGTGCCTGGTGCTAGGCCCCCAGGGTTAGAGCACACAGCCCAGGAGTGCTGAGCTGAGCCTTGACCCACTGAAATCATCCAGAAATGAAGCCAGTCGACTAAACCCAACTTATACCACAGCCAAACCCTCAAGGGAATCAAAGAATACAAAAGCAAGAAGCCCCATCCAAAGGACAGCAACTTTAAAGATTAAAGGAACATCAGCTCACACAGATGAGAATGAACCAGTGAAAGAACTCTGGCAACTCTAAAAGCCAGAGTGTCTCCTTACCTCTGAACAACTGCACTAGCTCCCCAGCAATGGTTCTTAACCAGACTGAAATGCCGAAATGACAGACATAGAACCCAGAATCTGTTTGGCAGCAAAGTCATCAAGATTCAGGAGAAAGTTGAAACCCAATTCAAGGAATCTAAGGAATCCAGTGAAATGAGTCAAGAGCTGAAAGACAAAATAGTCATTTTAAGCAGGAGACAAACTAATCTGGTAGAGCTGAAAAACTCACTATAAGAATTTCACAATACAATCAGAAGCATCAAAAGCAGAATAGACCAAGCTGAGGAAAGAATCTCAGACCTCAAAGACCAGTTCTTTGAATTAATTTAGTGAGAAAAAATTTTTAAAAATTAAGAAAAATGAACAAAATATCTGAGAAATATAGGGTTATGTAAAGAAACCAGCCCTACAACTCATTGGTATCCCTTAAGAAAGGGAGAGAGAGCAAGCAACTTGGAAAATATATTTCAGGATATTGTCCACAAAATATATAATCCCCATCCCCAAGACATATAGTTATCCCCATCACCAAGACATATAGATGACCATCCCCAAGACATATAGTCATCAGATTCTCCAAGGTCAATGCAAAAGAAAAAATATTAAAGGTAGCTAGAGGAAAAAAGGGCAGGTCATCTACAAATGAAACCCCATCAGGCTCACAAGAGACCCTTCAGCAGAAACCTTATATGCCAGAAGAGATTGGGAGCCTATACTCAACAACCTTAAAGAAAAGAAATTCCAACCAGGAATTTTATATCCAGCCAAACTAAGCTTCATAAGCTAAGAGGAAATAAGATCATTTTCAGACAAGTGAATGCTAAGGGAATTCTTTACCATCAGAACTGCCTTACAAGAAGGCAGCAAGGAAGTGCTAAATATGGGGGAAAAAAGACTCACTAGTCACCAAAAAAACATATTTAAGTACACAGCCCACTGACACTATAAAACAACTACACAATCAAGTCTACACAACAACCAGCTAACAACATGACGACAGGATCAAATCCACATAAATCAATATTAATCTTGAATGTAAATGTAATGTGCCTCCACTTAAAAGGCAGAGTGGCAAGCTGGACAAAGAAGCAAGACCCAACTGTATGGTGTCCTTAAAAGACCCATCTCACATGCAATGACACCCATAGGCTCAAAGTAAAGGGATGGAGAATGATCTATCAAGCAAACAAAACAAAAGAGAACAGCAGTTGCTATTCTTATTTCAGACAAAACAGACTTTAAGCCAACAACGATAAAAAAAGACAAAGTAAGACATTACGTAAGATAAAGGGTTCACTTCAACAAGAAGACTTAACTATCCTAAATATATATGCACCCAACACTGGAGCACCCAGATACATGAAACAAGTTCTTAGAGACCTACAAGGAGACTTAGATAACCACACAAAAACAGTGGGAGACTTTGACACCCCACTGAGAGTATTAGCTCATTGAGGCAGAAAACTAACAAAGATATTCGGGACCTAAACTTGACATTTGACCAAGTGGACCTAACGGACATCTACAGAACTCTCTGCCCCAGAATAACAGAATATACATTCTTCTCATGTGCATGTGGCACATGCTCTAAAATTGGCCACACAACCAGAAATAAAACAACTCTCAGTAAATTTAAAAAAAATTATATCAACCATGCTCTGGGACCATAGTACAACAAAAATACAGATCAATACTAAGAAAATTGCTCAAAGCCATATAATCACATGGAAATTAGACAACCTAATTCTGAATGACTTTTGGGTAAATAATGAAATTAAGGCAGAAATCAAGAAATTCTTTGAAATTAATGAGAACAAGGATAAAACATACCAAGATCTCTGAGACCCAGCAAAAGCATTAAGAGGAAAGTCTATAGCACTAAATGCCCACATCAAAAGTTAGAAAGGTCTTAAATTAACAACCTAATGTCACAGGAAGCAGAATTTTTCTACAGGAAGCAGAAAAATTAGAGGAAATCAACAACAAAGCCAGCAGAAGAAAAGAAATAACCAAAATCAGAGCTGAACTGAACAAAATGGAGATGTGAAAACTGACACAAAAGATCAATGAAACCAAAAGTTGGTTCTTTGAAAATATAAATAAGATTGATAGGCTGCTAGTTAGACTAATCAAGAAAAAGAGAGAAGATCCAAATAAACACAATCAGAAATGACAAAGGGAACATTATCATCAACTCCACAGAAATACAAAAAACCTTCAGAGACTATTTAAAACACCTCTATACACACAAGCTAGAAAACATAGAAAAAATGGATAAATTCCTGGATACATACAACCTCCAAGACCTAACCAGGAGGAAACTGAAACCCTGAACAGACCATTGGTGTGTTCCAAAATTGAATCAGTAATAAAAAACCTGCCAATCAGAAAAAGCCCAGGACCAGATAATTCACAGCTGAATTCTACCAGATGTATAAAGAAGAACTTGTACCAATTCTACTGAAACTATTCCAAAAATTTAAGAAGGAGATAGTCTTCTTTAACTCACTCTAAGAGGCCAGCATCATTCTGATACCAAAACCTAGCAGAGACACAACAACAACAACAACAATTTCAGGTCAATATCCCTGATGAACATAGATGCAAAAATCCTCAATAAAATACTAGCAAACTGGGCCAGGCATGGTGGCTCACACCTGTAATCCCAGCACTTTGGGAGGCTGAGGCAGGTGGATCACTTGAGGTCAGGGTTTGAGATCAGCCTGGCCAATATGGTGAAATCCTGTCTCTACTAAAAATACAAAAATTAGGCGGGTGTGGTGGCACACACCTGTAGTCCCAGCTACTCAGGAGGCTGAGGCAGGACAATCGCTTGAACCCAGGAGGCAGAGGCTGCAGTGATCCGAGATCACGCCACTGCACTACAGCCTGAACGACAAAGCAAGACTCCATCTCAAAAAACAAAAACCTAGCAAACCAAATCCAGCAGCACATCAGAAAGCTAATCTACCATGATCAAGTAGGCTTTATTCCTGGGATGCAAGGTTGGTTCAACATAAGCAAATCAATAAATGTGATTCATCACGTGAACAGAACTAAAAACAACATGATCATCTCAATAGACATAGAAAAAGCTTTCAATAAAATTCAACATCCCTGCATGTCAAAAACTCTCAAAAGACGGCATCAGAGGAACATATCTCAAAATATTAAGAGCCATGTATGACAAACCCAAAGCCAACATCATACTGAATGGGGAAAAGCTGGAAACATTCCCTTGAGAACCAAAACAAGACAAGGATACCAACTCTCACTACTCCTATTCAATGTAGTTCTGGAAGTTCTTCCAAAATCAGGCAAGATAAAGAAATAAAATGCATCCAAAAAGGAAGTGAAGAAGTCAAACTATCCCTTTTTGCAGATGATATAATTCTATACCTACAAAACCCCATAGTCTCTGCCCAAAGGCTTCTAGATCTGATAAACAACGTCGGCAGTTTCAGGATGCAAAAATCAATGTATAAAAATCATTAGCATTTCTATACACCAATAATGTCCAAGCTGAGAGCCAAATCAAGAACACAATCCCATTCACATAGCCAAAATAAGAGTAAAATACCTAGAAATACAGCTAACCAGGGAGGTGAAAGATCTCTACAACCAGAATTACAAAACACTGCTAAAAGAAATCATAGACAAGACAAACAAATGGTAAAATATTCCATGCTCATGGAGAGGAAGAATTAATATTGTTAAAATAGCCATACTGCCCCAAGAAATTTATAGATCCAATACTATTCCTACCAAACCACCAATGACATTCTTTGCAGAATTAGAAAAAAGCTATTCTAAAATTCATATGGAGCCAAAAAGAGCCAAAATAGTCAAAGCAATCTTAAGCAGAAAGAACAAAGCTGGAGGCATCACACTACCCAACTTCAAACTACAGTACAAGGTTACAGTAACCAAAACAGCATGGTATTGGTACAAAAACAGACACATAGACCAATGGAACAGAATGGTGAACCCAGAAATAAAGCCACACACCTACATCCATCTGATTTTTGACAAAGTCGACAATAACAAGCAGTGGGAAAGGCACTCCCCACTCAATAAATGGTGCTAGGATAACTTGCTAGCCACATGCAGAAGATTAAAACAGACCCCTTCCTTTCACCATCTACCAAAATCAACTCAAGTTAGATTAAAGACTTAAATGGAAAACCTAAAACTATAAAAACCCTAGAAGGAAACCTAGGAAACACCATTCTGGACATAGACCCTGGAAAAGATTTAATTATGAAGACTCCAAAAACAATTGCAACAAAAATAAAAATTGACAAGTAGGACCTAATAAAAACTAAAGAGCTTCTGCACAGCAGAAGAAACTATCAACAGAGTAAACAGACAACTTAAAGAATGGGAGAAAATATTTGCAAACTACACTTCTGAAAAAAGTCTAATATCCAGAATCTATAAGGAACTTGAATCAACAAGCAAAAAGCGAAAAAAAAAAAAAACATTAAAAAGTGGGCAAAGGACATGAACAGACACCTATCAAAAGATATATACACCACCAATAAACGTATGAAAATATGCTCAACATTACTCATCATCAGAGAGAAATGCAAATCAAAACCACAATGAGTTAACATCTCACACCATTCAGAATGGCTATTATTAAAAAGTCAAAAAACAATAGATGCTGGTGAGGCTGTGGAGAAAAGGGAACACTTATATACTGTTGGTGTAAATGTAAATTACTTCACCCACTGTGAAAAGCTGTTTGGAGATTTCTCAAAGAACTTAAAACAGAACTACCACTTGACCCAGCAATCCCATTACTGGGTATATACCCAAGGAATATAAATTATTCTACCAAAAAGACACATTCATGTATATGTTCATCATAGCACTATTCACAATAGGAAAGACATGGAATCAACCTAGACTCCCATCAATGGTAGATTGGATAAGGCAAATGTGGTATGTATATTCCACGGAATCTGATGCAACTATAAAAAAAAAGAAATCATGTCATTTGCAGAAACATGGATGCAGCTCAAGACCATTATCCTAAGGGAATTAATGCAGGAATAGAAAACGAAATACTACATGTTCTCACTTATAAGTGGGAGCTAAACATTGAATACACATGGACAGAAAGAAGGGAACAGATACCAGGGCCTACTTGAGGGTGGAAGGTAGAAGGAGGGTGAGTATCGAAAAACTACCTATTGGATACAATATTTGCTACCTGGGTGATAAAATAATTTGTACACTAAGCCCCAGAGACATGAAATTTACCCATGTAACAAGCCTGCAGAAGTAACTCCTGAACCTAAAATAAAACTTGGAAGGAACAAAACAACAAAAATTAGTAGTTTCTATACACAGTGAGCTAGCTAAAAAAGAAATCAAGGAGGCAATCCCATTTACCATAGCTATACTAAAAATAAAATACCTAGGAATAAATTTAACCAAGGAGGTAAAAGACTTCTACAAGGAAAACTATGAAACACTGAGGAAAGAAAGAAGATAAAAACAAATGGAAAGATAGACCATATTCATGAATTGTAAGAATTAATATTTTTAAAACATCCATACTACCCAATGCAGTCTACAGATTCAATCCAATTCCCACTAAAACTCCAATGTCATTTTTCACAGAAATAGAAAAAATAATCCTAAAACCCATATGGAACCATAAAATACCCCAAACAGCCAAAGCAATCTCGAGCAAAAAGAACAAAGCTAGATGCATCACAACTCCCTGGTTTCAAATTATGTTATAAAGCTATTGTAATAAAAACAGCATGGCACTGGCACAAAGACACATAAACCAATGGAACAGGTAGACAACCCAGTAATAAACCCAAGTATTCAGTATTTATAATTAGTTGATATTTGACAAAGATGCCAAAAACACAAAAGGGAAAGAACAGACTCTTTAATAAATGATGTTGGGAAAAATAGATATGGCCCAGAAGATAAAATTGGACACTTATCTCACACCATACACAAAAATCATCTCAAAATGTATAAAAGACTTATATGTAAGATGTGGAAATGTGGAATTGTAAAGTTAATAGAGGAAAACATAAGGGAAAATCTCCACAATACTGGTCTATGCAATGATTTCTTGGATAGGACTCCAAAAATGCAGGCACGAAAAGCAAAAATAAGACAAATGGAGTTGCATCAAATCAAAAGCTTCTGTACAGAAAAGGAAACAATGAACAGAGTGAAGAGACAAAACATGAACTGGAAGAAAATATCTGCAAACCATACAGCTGATAAGGGGCTAATATTCAAAATATATAAGGTACACAAACAACCCAAAAGCAAGAAAACAAATAACCTAATTTTAAAATGGGCAAAGGAACTGAACAGACATGGCTCAAAGGAAGACATATGAAAGGCCAATAGATATACTAAAAATACTCAATATCTCTGATCATCAGAGAAATGCAAATTGAAACCACAATATGATATCATTTCATGCCTGTTACAAGGGCTATTATCAAAAAGAAGAATGATACGTGTTGGCAAGGATGTGGAGAAAAGGGAACCCTTGTACACTATTTGTGGGAATATAAATTAGTACAGCCATTTTAGAAAGTAGTATGGAGGTTCCCAATAAAACTAAAAATAGAATTACCATATGGTCCAGCAATCCTACTTCTGGGTATATATCCAAAGGATTTGAAGTTGGTATATCAAAGAGATATCTGCATCCCCGTGTTTACTGTTGTGCTATTGTAATAGCTAAGATATGGAAGCAACTTAAGTGTCTATCAACAGATCAATGGATAAAGAAAATATAGTATATGTACACAGTGGAATACTACGCAGCCTTAAAAAAGAAGAAAATTCTGTCTGTGGATAAAATAATTGCAAGGTGCATTTCACATGCATGGTTTTGGTTGATTCCAAGTACAGAATTAGCAAGGACAAGGTTTTGGAGAGATTACGGCATATTTCCCAACAGTACCATCAATCATTAGTAAGGGATTTAAAATTTAATGCATGGAATTCATGGCTTAAAGAGGGCAGTTAAATATAAATGGATGAATCGGAGATATGAGGTTAATGATGTCACATATATCACTCTCTGCCTTCATTAACCCTAATCTTCTGCAGACCCTACAGGCTTTTAAACTCAATTAGAGCTCTTACCACTTACCCTTTGTGGAAATAATCTTGCTGCCTTATGCCTGACATTTAGTGTGTCAGAGCTAGATGGTTCATCCACCTTCAGAGTATTAAAATGATTGCATTTCCTATGACTATGTGATTGATTTAATTACATACAGTGCGGCCCAGGAGTTATAATGTATTCCCAGAGCAAATGCCTCAAGACACTGCAGTGTTTTTGTTTTGTTTTGTTTTTTGTGGGTTTTTTTTTTTTTTTTTGAGATGGAGTCTCACTCTGTTGCCCAGGCTGGAGTGCAGTGGCGCGATCTCAGCTCACTGCAAGCTCCGCCTCCCTGGTTCACGCCATTCTCCTGCCTCAGCCTCCTGAGTAGCTGGGACTACAGGCGCCCGCCACCACGCCCAGCTAATTTTTTGTTTTTTAGTAGAGACAGGGTTTCACCGTGTTAGCCAGGATGGTCTTGATCTCCTGACCTCGTGATTCACCTGCCTCGGCCTCCCAGAGTGCTGGGATTATAGGGGTGAGCCACCGCGCCTGGCCGACCCTGCAGTATTTTTAACTAAACTAATTCAACAGATATTTACTACTGCCTACCGTGGACTCATCACTATTAGTGGTGAGTTCTAAGTAGTAACAGCTCTAATTATGTATGTCTTTGAGTTTAAAATACTCATCATTATTACTAGATAGTAAGATACAGTGGTAAATAAGACTAAATCTCAGTACCATCTGTAATTTAAAGTCAAATGGGAGTAACAGACAATAAATGACTAAAGAAACATAATATGATACCAGGAAATGATATATGAAGAAAGAATACTAGGGATGGAGGAGGGTGGATGGGTAGATAATTACTTTACATAGAGTGGTCAGAGGAGCCCCCAAACCCAGCCTCCACTAAGGAGGGAACATCTGAGCAGAGTCCTAAATGGTGTGAATGAATGAACCCTGAGAAGATCCGCAGGGGAGAGCACTCCCCTGACAGAGAAGAATATTAGAAAGAGCTTGAGGCTGGAATAAGTTTAGTTTGTTCAAGGAATAGTAAGAATACTAATGTGGCTGAAGCAGAGTGAACAAAGGGAACAATGCTAACACATGAGGACAGAAAGATTAAATAGGGGCATTGTAGATGATGGTGAGAAGTTTGGACTTTATTCCAGGCATGAAAACACGCCATTGAAGAATACTGATCAGAGGAGTGACATGATTTAGATTTCGTCTTTACAAGATCGGTCTGGCTGCTATGAGAAGAACAAACCAGATAGAGGCAAAATTGGAAGTAGGAAAACAGCTTTTATAGCAGACAGGAGAGATGAAAGTAGCTTGGTCTAAGGTGATAGCAATTACAGTGGTGGATTTCAGATACATTTTGAATACAGAATTAACAAGACTTGATGGTGGATTGGATATAAGAGATGAGAGAAACCACGATATCAAGGCTGACTCCTAGGGTGTTGGTCTTAACAGTTTAGAGGTGCCATTTATAAGAATATAAACTCCACAAGAACATTTATTTTTGTCTTTTTTGAATATAAGCTCCACAAGAACATTTATTTTTGTCTTTTATGTTCAACAACATATTTCATTCACCTAGAAATAATGCCTGGAATGTTTATATGCTGAAAAGATTAAAGGAATAGGCAACATTAAGAGGAGGGAATCTAAATTAGGGGTGGAGAGTTAGTGGAGGTGAAATTAAGAATTCAGTCTTCGTCATGTTAAGTTTGACGTTTCTATAAGCTATCTAAGTGAAGTAAGTTTTTACATATATGCTCTTGGAGTTCAAAGAAGAGCCCCAAGATGTGGAAGTTATTCATTTATAAATTATATTTAAAGTTACAGGGCTGAATGAATAACCTATTATTCAGGTTAGAGAGTTAGAGAAAAAATAAAATACAAGGTTAGAGAAAAAAATAAAATACAAGGACTGGGTGTGAGACAATTGAGACCTCCCCAGCAAAGAGTAGTCAACGAAGAAGGAAGAAAACTAGGAGAATGTAATATTACAAAAGGCCAGTGAAAAAGATCAGTTTCAAGAAAAGGGTGGAACTATTTTGTCAAATGCGGCTAAGTAGTCACAGAGATGAGGACTGAGAACTGATAACCACATTTGGTAATATATTAGTCATTGGGGACTCAGTTGTGGGTTCATTGGAATGTGGTTCAGGGTCAAGATGACAAGGGTATGGCTGTAAGATCTGTTAAGGCCTCAAAAAGATTTAAGGTGGTGACTCATAGGCCTACTCAGCTAGACAAAAATTATTTTAAGAATCTTAAGTGGCATCTCAGGCCTTCTTTGCCAGACAAGGGCACTTCTAAATTTCTTAAGGACATTTTGCCACAGCACCCTGACTCTCAGCCCAAGGAAACAGGGGCCTGTCTTGAAGATATTTAGAAGTGTAACATTTGACTAATTGAGATCTTAATTTGATACACAGGAAGCCCACAAAATCTTTAAGAGAATAATAGCATCTTAGACTGAAAGGAACAGGGATAGTTTAGAAAGAAAAGACACATATGTGAAATTTCAGCCTTCACTGAAAGCAAAAATGAAAAGACACATTTGAACTTTCAACTTCCCTCACACTGAACATGGGCTGCAACTACAAACAGAAGTTATTTCTTATGGAAAAAGGCTTATTCAAAGGGTAAGGCCAAAACATGAGGGCAAGGCCAAGAACTTCAGAATTACTATGGTCAACTGACTGATATATGCCTCATGTTTTCCCTCCCTCTACATTTAGAATTTAAGTGTCTGTTCCAATTTTCCTGTTCTTGGCTCATCATTGTATGTAGGGGACAGATGGTCTCTTCAATTCATAGATTTTAAGTCTGAAAGGAGCCATACCTAAAAAGCCTCACCCACATGAACTTTAGTTAGATAAAAACATTTTGTACTTCAAGCCTGAGCTTGATGCAGTAATAGCATGACATTGAGGATCTTGGGAGGCAAGTGAGTATATTTTGCATGTGGGAGGAATATGATTTACTTGGAACTTAGTTAATCTCCAAATATGGCCCCCAATGCATACCCCTCCCAAGATTTATGCCCTTCTGTAGTCTCTTCCCATACTGAATCAGGACTGAGTATGGGACTTGCTGTAATTAACAGAAGTTAGTGAGGGTGACCCTGTGCTCGTCCCAAGCCTATGTCTTAAGAAGACCTGAAGGTTCTGTTTTTGTATTTTGGAAGCCTTGAGCTGCCACATAAAAAGCTCAGCAGCCTTGTTAGAGAGATTACATAGAAAGAGCACAAGTAGAAGCCCCATGGAGAAGGAGAAGGATAATTCCCAAGATTACACGGAAAGAGAGATCTGTATATTATCTATCTATCTATCTATCTATCTATCTATCTATCTATCTATCTATCAAATCTGAGATATATATATATCTGAGACAGAAAGAAGGAAACAGACACATTAAACCAGATGTTCTTGCATCCCAGATGAGCCCAGCCCTAACAGCTATTCAAGGTGTCAGACATGTAAGTGAGTGATCATGAGTGTTCCAGCCTAATCAAGCTCCTAGATAAGTCCATCTAACATCCAACATCAAGTGGAGCAGAAGAACTGCCCAACAAGCAAGTCAACCCCACAGTATCTTGAGAGATAATAAAACATCTTTTTTAATCCACTAGGTTTTGGAGTGGTTTGTTATACAGCAATAAATAACTTACTTATCAAGTGAAAGTTGAATATTTTGGAAGTCAGACTGAATGTAATACATACATTAAAAGGTAAACTACAAACTATGTGCCCATACAAGTGGTTAATATCTTGAAAATAAAAAGAGCTCATTATAAAACCTAAACAAAATCCCCAAGTCTTCAAACAAAAAAATGGACAAAGGACATGATCTGTCTACTCATAGCAGGGAAAACCAAAATGACTAATGAGCAAAAAAAAGTGTTAATCATTATTTAAAAGACCATTAATACTCAAATACTGTTGGTAAGAATGTAAAGTGGTACAGTCTTTCTGGAGAGCAATTTGTTAGCATGCCATTTCTGTAAATACATTAGGAGATAATCACAGATCCACAGATCTAAATAAATAAGCAAAAGTGTTAATTTCAAACTTAATGTCCAACAATATGAAAACTGTTTAAAAACTTATGGAATATTAATATTTGAGGATATTCTACATCTTGCAGATTTTTAAGAAAATTCAAGTGGCATGCATGTAAAGTCAAAAAATAAAAATTATATGTCTATTTTGATTCAAGCTTTTAAAATTCATAAAAGATATATGTACATATGCATAAGAAAGACTAAAAGAAAATAAAATTGTTAAATCTAGCAGTAGAATTATAACTGCTTTTATTTTTTCTTTTACATTTCTCTCCATTTTCTAAATTTTCTGTGACTGTGCATTACTTTCACATTCAGAAAAAACAAGAATGTTATTTGACATAGGTAACTGAGAGTAATTCCCAGTTAAAATTATGTCTTTTGAAATTTGGGAGAGAATTTAGAAATGACCTAGTCTGATCTACCATTCAAATAATGAGAAAAATAGGTCTAGAGACTTAGATGCCCAAGCTAGTATTTAGAAGCAGAATCTCACTTAGAACTCAAATTCTTTATCTTCTGACCTATATATCTTTTTATACCATTTGATGAACTACCTGTAATAGTTATTCCAATAAGATATAAAGATATAAGTAGAATGGCTGTCATTTTGAGAAAGTCTATTATTTGGTGTACCTTTAAATTCACACTCTTATTCTCATTTTAAACTATAAAATTATTTGTAATAAGGAGAACATGTTATTTCCTATAATATAATAGTTTTATTAAGAATTTCCACTGAAATAACTCCTCAGGCTTTTAAATTTCCTTTGAATTTACATTTTGTTATTGTCGTTACACTTTCAGCTGAATTACTAACCCAAGAGATTAATTTGTATTACTGGCATCTCAAATCACTTTGCTTTTCTTGAAAGTTTTTTATCCTCATTTCTTGATTGATATAAGTAAAGCAGGAATATTTAATATACTTAGACACATTTCCACTTGGAGACATTTGAATGCATTTTCGATTTATTTGTATTTAATTTTTTAAAATAGATTATTTTGTCTCCCTAGTCTTATACTTCTAATATAAGGGCAGACACCTTGAGCTCAAGGCCTTCTTTTGGGTCTTGGCTTTGAAAGCTACCTTTTAATTTTTAATCTGGTGGAAACTAAGCCTGTGTTCTCCCTTTCAGCTAAGTTTAGATTGTTGTTTTGCCAGCTAATTTCTGTTGGAGATGAATCTAAGTTCCTGCTCTTTGGATTTATACAGATACTCCTCAAATTTACCTCTGATAGAGATGAGTCTGCTTTTAAAATGCTTGGATAGTTATCTTTTAATTTTACTTCTAATGGAAAAAATACATTTTTCATTTTTCTGTCTGGCATGCTTTCTGATTGACGTTCACCTAAAGGTGGTATTCTGCCTGCTTTTATTGTTTCCTGGTTAGAAATAGTGCACAATGAGTGCACTTCTGTGGGTGAAGGTGTTGATTCATCATTTTTAGAAGCATCAGCAGTTGAATTATCTTGGTCCGATTGGTTCAAAGTTGGTATAGTCAGGCCTTTCTCAGAATCATTATCCAGTAACTAGAAAATACAGCAATAAAACAAACTACCAGTTAATCATTATTGACTGGAAAATTTTACAAATTAAGAAAATGACTCAAAATCAATTGTACCCTTATCCTTTAGCATAACAAATTACCATTATTATTTGTAAATTTTAATTCCTTAGTAAACATAGTAAGTTCTTTACTTGCCTGAAACCATGGACTGTAGAATACTATCCATAAAAATGATAAAGCAGTGGTTCTCATATATCCAAATTTATAAATCAGCAACATCTCAAAATAAAAAATCTGAGGGTCTGACATTTTACTGTTATTACACTGTCACCAATATATCATGAAACAAAGGAAATTTTAATAACAAAATGCACAAGGAATGATACCATAAATCACAACTATATAAGAAAATAAAGAGAATATTAATAGCACCACAGTACAAAGAACAATATTGTAAAATAAAGGATAGCCTGTTAAACTAAATAAATTTAGCTTTATGAAAAATTCTCTATATTATCTTCTTTTACTCTCCTTGAACTGCGGAAAACAGTAATACATACTGACTCTTCAATTGGTATTTGGGAGCCACTGACCCAGGAATGGAAATCATTAAATCCTACTTGTCAAGCAGTAAGTGAACATTTTACTCTTCACTGATTTACATGGGGAGCCACTCCTTTATGGAATGAATACCTTATGTAAATTTAGCTGAAAAGCAAATTATATTATGTAAACTCTATGTTTTGTTTATTTCTATTTTAAACTATAGAATATCATTTCCTGTGCAAAGTTTACAATATGATAAAAGATTTTGGTGAGAAAGAGTAAAAACTGCAGTTACATCTATGGCATTTATTTCTAAGATCTTACGTAGAACTTCATGCTTTTTTCTTGTTTCTCCTTCATCTCTTCCTCAACACATTTTGTCCCCTATCTTCATATTTTTAAATGTTACTATTTTATGCAGAAGGCTCTTTCAAGAGTGTAACTATACAGATATTGCCATAATAGAAACCATAAAACAACTGAGTAACTTCTTGGATGCCTTTCTCTATCTATAAATATTTCTCCATTTATAAATATTTTATCCCTTTATAAAATAATGACTATTAAAAGTTCTCTTCCAATTTCCCTTACCTCATTTGCAGTAGTTTCAGCTTCCTCATTTACAAGAGGGATATCTGCTTAAACAATTAATAGGGGTATTTTATTTTACATAAAAACAATAAACACATATGTATGTACATTAATAAAATACTATTACATTTTTTCTCACTAAAAACAAAGAGCAACTTAAATCAAAGCAGCTATCCAAACATAAACACTACTTAGTATAAACAAGCTGATGAATCTCTGGGAAGATGGGGGAGTGGTAAATGATAACATTTCAGATCCATAAATACAAGACACAAACACAGGTACATGCTATATTTTTTAAAAGTTGGGAGGAAATAAACTCCAGATGATAAGTGATGGGACTGGGATTGGAAGAAGAGACTAGAATAAAGGCATATGAAATCAGACAAAATAGGACCATTCAAGGAAGGCTGGTTAAAATACTTGTAAAATTTTCCTAGAAATATAAGGAATACATATTTAGCATGTAAAAAGGGAAAACCTAAAAGGGACAAAAAGAAAATAAATAACTGAAGCAGAATTCTAGCAAAAAAATTTGCTATGGTCACAACTACATGACTTCGTTCAGCTCTTTCTTTTTTCTTTTAATGGTGGTAAGAACAATTCACATGAGACCTATCCTCTTAAATTTTCTAGTGCAAAACACAATAATGTTAACTATCAGCACAATGTTGTAAAGCAGATCTCTAGAACTTCATCATCTTGCATAACTTAAACTTTATACTTGTTGAAAAGCAATTCCCTATTTGCCCCTCCCCCTAGCCTCAGGCAACCAGCATTCTACTCTGACTATTTCATATACCTCACATATATGGCATCATGCAATATTTGTCTTTCTGTGACTGGCTTATTTCACTTAGTATAATGTCCTCAAGGTCCATCCACGTTGTCACATATGGCAGGATTTCCTTATTTTTAAATGCTGAATGATATCCCATTGTATGTAGACTGGCATATCTCTTTTTATTGCACTTCTCAGATACTGTGTTTTGTACAAATTGAAGGTCTGTGGCAACCTTGCGTTGAGCAAGACTACTGGTGCCATTTTTCCAAAAGCATGTGTTCACTTAGTGTCTCTGCATCACATTTTGATAATTCTCAAAATATTTCAAACTTTTTCATTATTATAATATCTTTTATGGTACTCTATGACCAGTGATCTTTGATGTTACTATTGTAATTGTTGAGGGGCACCACAAACCACACCCATCTAAGATAGCAAACTTTTTTTATAAAAATTTAACTTTTAAGTTCAATTGTACATGTGTTGGTTTGTTATATAGGTAAACGTGTGTCATGGGGGTTTGTTGGACAGATTATTTCATCACCAGGTATTAAGCCTATTATCCATTAGTTATTTTTCCTGATCCTCTGCCTCCTCCTACCCTCCACTCTCTGATAGGTCCCAGTGTGTGTTGTTCCCCTCTATGTGTCCATGTGCTCTCATCATTTAGCTCCCACTTATAAGTAAGAACATGTGGTATTTAGTTTTCTGTTCCTGCATTTGTTGCTAAGGATAATGGTCTCCAGCTCCATCTATGCTCCTGCAAAGGACATGATCTCATTCTTTTTATGGCTGCATAGTATTCTATGGTGTATATGTACTACATTTTCTTTATCCAGTCTACCATTGATGGGCATTTAGCTTGATTCCATTTCTTTGCTATTGTGAATGGTACTGCCATGAACATACCTGTGCATGTGTCTTTATAAAAGAATGATTTATATTCCTTTGGGTATATACCCAGTAATGGGATTGCTGGGTCAAATGGCATTTCTGTCTTTAGGTCTTTGAGGAACCACCACACTGTCTTCTACAGTAGTTGAACTAATTTACACTCCCACCAACAGTGTATAAGCATTCCTTTTTCTCTGCAACCTTGCCGGCATCTGTTATTTTTTGACTTTTTAATAGTAGCCATTCTGACTGGTGTGAGATGGTATCTCATTATGGTTTTGATTCACATTTCTCTAATGATCAGTGATGTTGAGCATTTTTTCATATGCCTGTTGGCCATATGTGTGTCTTCTTTTGAAAAGTGTCTGTTCATGTCCTTTGCCCACTTTTTAACGAGGTTTTTTTTTTTTTTTTTTGTAAATCTTTGCCCACTTTTTAACGAGGTTGTTTTTTTTTTGTTTTTGGTTTTGGTTTTTTTTGCCAAGATCCCTTATAAATGCTGGATATTAGACTTTTGTAAGATGGCAAACTTAATTTATAAATGTTGTGTGTGTTGTAACTATGCCACTGACCAGCTGTTCCCCCATCTTTCTTCCTCTCCTTGGCCTCTCTATTCCCAGAGACACAACAATATTGAAATTAGGCCATTAATAACCCCAAAATGGATCTAAGTGTTCAAGTGAAAGAAGATTTGTACATCCCTCACTTTAAATCAAAAGCTAGAAATGATTAAGCTTACTGAGGAAGGCATGTTGAAAGCTGAGATAGGCCAAAAGCTAGGCCTCTTGCACCAAACAGCCCAGATGAGAATGCAAAGGAAAACATTTTTGACAAAAGCGAGAAGTGCTACTCCACACACAAATGATAAGAAAGCAAAACAGCTTATTGCAGATATGGAGAAAATTTTAATAATCTGGACAGAAGATTAAACCAGCCACAAACAGTCCCTTAAGCCAAAGCCTAATCCAGAGAAAGCCCCTAACTCTCTTCAATCCAATGAAAGCTGAGAGGTGAGGTGGCTGCAGAAGAAAACCTTGAAGCCAGCAAATGTTGGTTCGTGAGGTTTAAGGAAAGACAGTATTTTTGTAACACAAAAGTGCAAGGTAAAGCAGCAAGTGCTGATGTAGAAGCTGCAGCGAGTTACCCAGAAGATCTAGCTAAGATATTGATAAAAGTGACTACACTAAATAGGTTTTTATCGTAGATGAAACAGTCTTATACTGAAAGAAGGTGTCATCTAGACTTTCATAGCTAGAGAGGAGAACTCAATGCCTGGCTTCAACGCTTCAAAGGACAGGCCAACTCTCTTGTTAGAGGCTAATGTAGCTGCTGATTTTAAATTGAAGCCAATGCTCATTTACCATTCTAAAAATCCCAGGGCCCTTAACATTTATGTCAAGTGTACTCTGCCTGTGCTCTATAAATGGAACAACAAAGCATGGATGACAGCAGATCTGTTTGCAGCATGGTTTACTGAATATTTTAAGCTTGCTGTTGAGACTTACTATTCAGAAAAAAAGATACCTTTCAAAATATTACTGCTCAGTGACAATGCACCTGGTCATCCAAGAGCTCTGATGGAAATGTCTGAGGACATTAATGTTGCTTTCATGCCTGCAAACATAGATCCATTCTGCAGCTCACAGATCAAGGAGTAATTTCAACTTTCAAGTCCTCTCATTTCAGAAATACATTTTGTAAGGCTTTAGCTGCCTTAGATAATTCCTCTGAGGGATCTTGGCAAAGTAAATCGAAAACCTTCTGCAAAGGATTTACCATTCTAGATGCCATTAAGGACATTTGTGCTTCAGGAGAGGAGCTCAAAATACCAACATTAACAGGAATTTGGAAGCAGTTGATTACAACCCTCATGGATGACTTTAAGATGTTCAATAAAACTTCAGTAGAGAAAGTAACTACAGATGTGATGAAAATAGCAACAGAGGTAGAATTAGAAGTGAAGCCTGAAGATGTGAGTAAACTGCTACAATCTCATTATAAAATTTGAATGGATGAGGAATTGCTTCTTATGGATGAGCAAAGAAAAGTGGTTTCTTGAGATGGAATCTACTGCCAAAGATGCTGTGAACACTGCTAAAATGACAACAAAGGATTTAGAATTCTATATAAACTTAGTTGACAAAGCAGCAGCAGGGTTTGAGAGGATTGACTCCAATTTTGAAAGAAGTTCTACTGTGGGTAAAATGCTATCAAACACCATCGCATACTACAGAGAAATCCTTCATGAAAGGAAGAGCCAACTGACGCAGCAAAATTCATTGTTGTCTTATTTTTAAAAATTGCCACAGCCACCCCAACCTTCAGCAACTACCATCTTGATCAGTCCCAGCCATTAAGATCAAGGCAAGACCCTCCAGCAGCAAAAATATTGCAACTCACTGAAGGCTCAGATGATTTTATATATATATATATATATATATATATATATATATATATATATATATAAAATTTACAAAAAACCCATACATATATATATGACAGAGTCTCATCTCACTCTGTTACCCAGGCTGGAGTGCAGTGGCATGATCTCAGCTTACTGCAACCTCCACCTCCCGGGTTCAAGAGATTCTCATGTCTCAGCCTCCTGAGTAGCTGGGACTACAGGCGTGAGCGACCACACCCTGCTAATTTTTGTATTTTTAGTAGAGATAGGGTTTCACCATGTTGGCCAGGCTGGTCTTGAACTCCTGACCTCAGGTGATCTGCCTGCCTCGGCCTCCCAAAGTGCTGAGATTACAAGCTTGAGCCACTGTGCCTGGCCTCTCTATTTTTTGAGATAGGGTCTTGCTCTGCCACCCAGGCCGAAGTACAGTGGCATGATCCTACCTGATGCACTGCACCCTTGAACTCTTGGGTTCATGCAATCCTCCTGCCTTGGCCTCCCAGAGTGCTGATATTACATGCATGAGCCACTGTGCCCAGCCAGCAATTAAGTATTTTTTAATTAAGTCATGTACATTGACTTTTTACATAATGCTATTGCACACTTAATAGACAAAAGTATAGTGTAAATGTAATGTTTATATGCCCTAGGAAACAAAAAAAAATCACATGACTTGCTTTATTGTGGTGGTCTAGAACTGAACCTGCAATGTCTCTGAATTATGTGTGTATACCACATTTTGTTTATTCATTCATCTATGACATTTAGGTTGTTTCTACATCTTGACTATAGTAATAACATGGCAATAAACATAGGAGTGCAAATATTGCCTTGAGATGCTGATTTCAATTCTTTTGGATAGACACCCAGAAGTGAAATGGCAGGATCATATGATTTATCTATTTGTCATTTTTTTGAGTAACCACCATGCTGTTTTCAAAAGCAGCTGCATCATTTTACATTCCCCCAACAGTGTACTAGGGTTCAAATTTCTTCACATCCTTGCCAACACTTGTTGACTTTTCAATAATAGCCATCTTAACAGGTGTGATATCTCATTATGATTTTGATTTGTATTTACCTGATGATTAATGATGATAAACAGTTTTTGTATACCCATTGGACACTTGTAATGTCTTCTTTGGATAAATATGTATTCAAGTGCTCAGTCCATTTTTTATTTATTTATTTTTTTGCTATTGAGTTGAAAAGTTTCCTTATATGTTTTGGAATATTAGCCCTTTAACAAATATATGGTTTACAAATATATTCCCCCATTCTGTAGGTTTCCTCTTCACTCTGTTGTTTCCTTTACTGTGTAGAAGCTTTTTAATTTGATATAGCCCCACTGTCTGTTTTTGTTTTTGTTGCCTGTGCCTTTGGTGTCTTATCCAATAAATCATTGCCAACACCAGTGTCAATGAGATTTTCCCCTATGTTTTCTTCTAGGAGTTTTACAGTTTCCAGTCTTACATTTAAGTCATTAATCCATTGAGAATTGATTTTTGTTTATGGTGTTAAGCAAAAGTCTAATTTCAATTCTTTTGCATGTGAATATCCAGTTTTCCCAACACCATTTGCTGAAAAGACTATTCTTTCCTCATTGTGTGTATTCTTGGCACACTTCTCAAAGATCAGTTCATCACATTTGCATGGGTTTATTTCTAGGCTCTCTCTTCTATTCTATTGATCTATATGTTTATCTTTATGCCAGTCCATGCTATTTTAATTGCTATAGTTTTGTAATACATTTTGAAATCAGAACGTGTGATACCTCCACGTTCTTCTTTCTCAAGACTGTTTTGACTATCCAGAGTCCTCTGTGGTTCCACATAAATTTTAGGATTGCTTTTTCTACTTCTGTGAAAAACACCATTAGAATTTTGATAGAGATTGCACTGAATCTGTAGATTGCTTTGGGTAGTATGAACATTTTTCAGAGTATTAAATCTTCAAACTCATGAACACAGGATATTTTTCCCTTTATTTTCTTATCCTTAATTTCATTATCAATGTTTTTTAGTTTTCAGAGTGCAAGGTCTTTGACCTCCTTTGAAAAGTTTATTCCTAATTATTTTATTCTTTTTGATGCTATTGTAAACTGGAATTATTTTCTTGATTTCTTTTTTGGATAGTTCATTGTTAGTGTATAGAAACAAAACTGATTTTTCTGTGTTGGTTTTATCTCCTGCAACTTTACTGAATTCATGTATTGGTTCTAACAGGTCTTTTTGTGTGGAGTCTACAGAATTTTCTATATGTAAGATCCTGCCATCCGCAAACAAAGATAAAGAAATATTATTATGTATTTTAAAGTGTAGTACTATACTTTAACTTGCTTTCTTTTTTTTATTATTATACTTTAAGTTCTAGGGTACATGTGCACAACATACAGATTTGTTACATATGTATACATGTGCCATGTTGGTGTGCTGCACCCATTAACTCATCATTTACATTAGGTATATCACCTAATGCTATCCCTCCCCACTGCCCCCATCCCACGACAGGCCCCAGTGTGTGATGTTCCCCTTCCTGTGTCCAAGTGTTCTCATTGTTCATTTCCCACCTATGAGTGAGAACATGCGGTGTTCGTTTTTTTGTCCTTGTGATAGTTTGCTCAGAATGATGGTTTTCAGCTTCATCCATTTCCCTACAAAGGACATGAACTCATCCTTTTTTATGGCTGCATAGTATTCCATGGTGTATATGTGCCGTATTTTCTTAATCCAGTCTATCATTGTTGGACATCTGGTTTGGTTCCAAGTCTTTGCTATTGTGAATAGTGCCGCAATAAACATACGTGTGCATGTGTCTTTAGAGCAGCATGATTTATAATCCTTTGGGTACATACCCAGTAATGGGATGGCTGGGTTTCACTTGCTTTCTTAGTGAATTTAAGAGATTTTTAAAAGACTGCATGAACAGTCCACTTATTAAATCTCTTACTGATACTTTATGATAAATTCTCAAATGTAATGCTAATCTAATTTCCTCTCCTTCTTCCTCTGCCACACTTTCTTTTTCACACACACACACACACACATTCCTCTGCATAAACACACTCCTCTACATAAAAGAGACCAATAGCTCTATAGTTCACAATGTCTAATAAAAATGCCTTTTCACAGGTCATAGTTAATATTTTAACTTTTTTCTCATCCTTAAAAAAGTAAAGGAGCATTGGCCAAGCGTGGTGGCTTATGCCTATAATCTCAGCACTTCGGGAAGCCAAGGCAGGAGGATTGCTTGAGCTCAAGAGTTTGAGACCAGCATGGGCAACATGGCAAAATCCTGTCTCTACAAAAAAAAAAAAAAAAAATACAAAAATTAGCCAGGCATGGTGGCGTGTGCCTGTAGTCCCAGCTACTTGGGAGGCTAAGGTGGGAAGACTGATTGAACCCAGGAGGTCAAGTCTGCAGTGAGCTGTGGTTGTGCAACTGCACTCCAGCCTGGGTGACAGAACTAGACCCTGTCTCAGATAATAATAATAATAAAATTTAAAAATAAAGCAACATTAAAACGTCTTTTTTTGTGTGAGATGGAGTCTCACTCTGTCGCCCAGGCTGGAGTGCCGTGGCAAGATCTCGGCTCACTGCAACCTCCGGCCTCCAAGTTCAAGCAATTCTCCTGCCTCAGCCTCCTAAGTAGCTGGGATTACAGGCACCTGCCACCGCGCCTGGCTAATTTTTTGTATTTTTAGTAGAGACAGGGTTCCACCATCTTGGCCAGGCTGGTCTTGAACTCCTGACCTCATGATCCACCCGCCTCGGCCTCCCAAAATGCTGGGATTACAGGCATGAGCCACCGTGCCTGGCCTTAAAACTTTTTAAAACTCGTAATAGGGTCTAACACTTTTCTTTAAAATTATCACACCTACCATATGCCAAAACTATAGTGAAATGCCTATTTATTTCCTAACAAAACAGAAATCTACTTAAAGCAAATTACTAATTGTCTTTTTGTGATATAATCACTTTGATTTCAATTATCTTAATAATAAAAAAATCAAAGTAGTTTCTTACCTACTCCTACAATATTTTCAAGCTCCTCTTCAGGATGATTACTTTTCGTGTTTTCAGATGCCTCATCTATATTAGTTTCCTAGAAGCAAAAAAAAAAAAAAAAAAAAAAAAGAAAAAAAAATATATATGGGAAAATATTTAAAGAACGAAAACATTTTCCTCTGCCTTCATAACTACTTTTAATACAATACACCTTCCTCCACACCCAAATTTACAGAAGACAAGAAGGAGATGGGTTTGTGAGGAAAGCAATTCAAACAGCACTATTTTAAGGAGCCACATACTCTGGCTAGGAGTTGATGTTCCAAAGAAAGTGTATCCAAGAATGGATAGAGTATTTGAGTGATGAATGTGGGAGATGAATATTACAAGATAAATTACATAATATTGTAACTTCAGGGGGTATGAGAAGATACCCCCAGGAAACAGATTACTTTTTTTATTAGAATACATTATGGCCTATGACTTAAAAGTGATGTGTCTCTTTACAAAATTCCAAGGAGAATTATAAGGTAAAGTGATCAGTGGGCACTTATAAAATACTGATCTTTTAAAAAGAACCCTAAGTTCTTAGTCCCTTTAATAAAAAGTCCTCCAAAATGTCTCTAAAATATGAATAGTGTATTGGTAAATACTAATCAGTTTATCCAACAGAAGCCCAACTCTGCCCAATTATCACAGAGGTATAAAAAAATGAAAATATCAATATGTTATAACTAACATTTTAGACTATGATCATAGTCAATGTTTTATCCATCCATTGAGAGAGCTATGAATCCTTTATTTCCAAGTCAACATGTATAGGTTAGAGTATATTTCTAAATATCAAACCTTACTCATATTTCTGATAAGAGTTTAATGTCCAGAATATACAAAGAACTCTTACAACTTAACAATAAAAAGAAAAATAACTCAATTTTAAAATTGGCAAAGGATTTGAATAAACTTTATCCAAAGAAGATATACAAATGTCCAGTAAACACATGAAAGATGTTCACATCATTAGTCATTAGAGAAATGCAAATCAAACCTACAATGAGATACCACTTCAAACCCACTAGGATGGGTATAATAATAATTTTTAGAAGTTAAAAAGGGTAGATGAAGATGTTGATCTTTCATACATTGCTGGTTGGAATGTACGATGATGCAGCTGCTGTGGAAAACGGTTTGGAAGCTCCTCATAAATCGAAACAGGAAACTATGACACAGTCCAGCTTCTACTCCTTTATATATACCCCAGAGAATTGAAAACATTTGTTCACACATAAACTTGCACATAAATGTTCACAGCAGCATTATTCATAATAGCTTTTAAGTAGAAACAAACTAAATGCCCATCAGCTGAGGAATGCATAAACAAAATGTGGCATATCCAAATAATAGAATGTTATCTGGAGAGAGAAAAGAATGAAGTACTGGTACATGCTACAACAGGGGTGAAACTTAAAAACATAGCAAGCAAAAGAGGCAAATCACAAAGAACAACACATTGTATGATTCCATTTATATGAAATGTCTAGAATAGGCTAAAGCTATACAGTTAGAAAGTTGACTAATTGCTGCCTAGGGCTAGTGGAGGGGATGGAAAAATTGGGAGGTATTGGCTAAAGGGTATGGGGTTGCTTTTGCAGGTGATAAAAACGTTCTAAAATTGACTGTGGTGATGGATACACAACTCAGTGAAGATACTAAATGCCACTGAGTTCTATACTTTAAATGGGTCATTTGTATGGTATATGAATGATATCCTTATAAATTATCAGTAACTATTAAACCCTATAAATTATCAATAAATATTCATTGAATGGCACATTATCAAAACAGGTAAGTACCTGAACCATGAAAAATATTTTATATATCAAGGACAAAAAATTTGATCATCACTTTTAATTATCATAATCCCATTCTTAATAAAAAGTATTAAAAGCTATATATAGGAGAATGTATTATGTCAATTACCTCAGAATCCTTATGTTCCAATTTTGGCATTAGAATGCTTTCTAAATAGTTAGCTTTATCTATCCATGTATTCAGATTTCTATATTCTTTTTTCATCTTTTCCAGCCTAAAGAAAGAAATAAGTTATGAATGAAAAAAGCAAGTGATAGAAGAATACATATGGTATGATTCACAGAAGAATACTTGCAATGTGATCCATTTATAAAATGTTCTAAAAGAGACAAACCAACAATATATTGTCTAGGGATACAGTCAAAGGACAGGGAATGATTACAACAAAAATCAAGGTACTAGTTACCTGGGGATGGTTAAGGAGAGGGATGTAACCTCAGAAGGGTACACAAAATGTATTTCTGATATTACTGGTGGTGTATTTCTTAACCTGAATCATAAATATGTACACAATGGCGTTATTATCATTATTTAGGCTATACATACTTGTTATAGAAATTATTCAATATATATTACTCTTAGTATTTAAACTATACGTCTTAGTCAGTTTGAGCTGCTGTAACAGAATACAATAGACTGGGTGACTTAAACAACAGACTTTTTTTTTAATGTACTTTAAGTTCTAGGGTACTTGTGCACAACGTGCAGGTTTGATACATAGGTATACATGTGCCACGTTGGTTTGCTGCACCCATCAACTCATCATTTACATTAAGTATTTCTCCTAATGCTATCCCTCCCCCAAACAATATACATTTATTTCTCACAGTTCTAGAGGCCAGGAATTCCAAGATCAAGGTGCTGGCAGATCCAGTGTCTGGTGAGAGTAGTCTTCACTGTTTGCAGATGGCTTTCTTATATCCTCACATAGTGGAAAGAGATGAATCTTGTGTCTCTTTCTCTTTTTATGAGGGCATTAATCCCATCATTGTAACAGTCCTACCCTCATGACCTAATCTAACCCTAATTATCTTCCAAAGGCAATGCCTCCAAATAACATCACACTGGGGACTAGGATTTTAACATATGAATTTGAAGGGAGACACAAACATTCAGTCCATAACACTATATATATATAATTATTCAATACATATACAATATCTTCCACAATAAAACAAGTGAAAAAAAGGATGTATCTTCTAATCCAAGAAACTTCAAAAAGCTTGAATACCTTAAAGATATAATTAACAAGGATTAAATGGAAGACAGGGAATGTTTCCCAGTTCATTTCATGAGGACATAATGGCCTTGACAATAAAACCTGACAAAGACATTACAAAAAAGAAAAATTACAGTTTAATCTCATTCATGAATATAGATGTGAACATTACAAATAAAATATAGTTTTAGTACAAAAATCCAGTAGTGTGCAGACACAATTTGAGAATAGCAGTTGAAACTGGGAGGGCTTTTCTCGTTTCAGGATTCATGGTAAGATCTAAAGGGCCTGGAGCAGTCTAATGACTATGAATGCTCAAAACTGACCAGCCAAGTATCTCTTCCAGGACAGGACCCCAGGAAATCTTAAAAAGCATTCCATTATACTACACACACACACACCCCCCAGCCAAATGAAAACATCAGAAGTGTGAATCTGTGAAGCTAGAAGAGTTTTCTAAGCCAATTCTCCTGCAAAAAATTCAGGCAAATTAATGTCACATAAAATAGACCAATACACTTTAACAAAGATTAAAACCTGCAATGGATTGCAGCCTATCAAATGTTTAAATCTATGAGTTCAAAATAATATTTTAAGTATTTTTTTCAGAAACTAAAGTGTAAGACCTTACACTTCTGGTCCACTACAGGTCACTGCCCTAATGTATATACAACATGAAACACCATTTCATCAACAGGCTCATTTATTTAATTAATAACATTAATATTAATAATTTTCATAATCTGAGAAGGCTTCACTTCAAAATGGGAAGTGTCAGTGGTGGAACTCTCATCTAAAAATTTCGAATGATTTCATGGCCACCCATAACCATATTATACAATCAAAAAGCCCATATACGTAGAAGCTAAAAATAAGAAAGCAAGGAGTCAAACCCCCTATAACTGGTTTCAGGCTAGCTTCATAACCATTATGACTTTTTCAACAAGCAAGATACTAGTAAAAATGTTACATAACTTTGTCAAAGTTAATTTATAGGTTAAAATTCTTTATATCTTTGTGGCATACCTATTCCAGTCAGGCTTTCAAGATGCAGCATCATCTATTATAGAAGAACTACACTTACAAAATCACACTGTAATAATCGTTTTCTTAATTAGCTCTTTAGTCCTTTATGTTATTTCATTAATACTAACAACTAAACTAACCCACACAAAATAGATGCTTAAGAAGTAGAAACAGTATGAATTATCTTACTCGCTATTATTTTAATCCTAATTACTTTACTGTCTTTATGAATCCTATACATGATAGGTAAAATGAGTATCTCTTCCCCAACTGTAAAAACCATAGGCTACCAATGATATTTAGGTATAAATATACAGACTACAAAGACCTGAAGTTTGATTCTTATATAATCCCTACAACAGACCTTAAACCAGGAGATTTATGACCACTAGAAGTTGATAATTCGAGTAGTCCTACTTATGGAAATGTCAATTTTCATATTAATCTCATTCAAAGATGTATTACATCCATAAGCTGTTCCATCATTAGGCCTAAAAACAGATTAAATTCCAGGATGTTTAAATCAAGCAACTCTAACATCCACATGACCAGGCCTATACTATGGACAATGCTCAGAAATTTGTGGATCAAATCACAGCTTTACGCCTATTGTACTTGAATTAGTGCTGCAAAAACTGATCGGCACCTATGTCATCGTGAAGCTAAGTGGCATTAACCTTTTAAGTTAAAGAATGAAAGCATTGATCTTTCCACAACAATATGCCACAATTAGCTACATCAACATAATTTATCACTTTTTTCAATAATTCTAGCCCTATTTAGCCTATTTCAATTAAAAATTTCAAAATATACCTACTCTTTAAACCTGTCACCAAAAAATATTGAAGCACCAAAACATGAAACCCCTAAGAAAAAAAGTGAATGAAAATTTATTTATCTCTTTCATTACTCCCACAATAATAGGACCACCTAGTATCCTCATCATTTCACTCCCATTCTATTCCCTGCTCCCAATTGCCTAATTAGTAATCGACTAATCTCTATACAATGATTAGTGTAACTTGTATTAAAGCAAGTGATAACATTCCATAATATAAAACAACAAACTTGATTTCTAATATTAATCTCCTTTATCCTATTTTCATTGGCTCAACAAATTTATTCGGATCATTAAGTCATTCATCTACACCAATCACCCCATTATCAATATATCTAGGTATGGTTATCCCACTATGAGCAGGAACAGTAACTACTGGTTTCCACCACAAAACAAAAGCAACACTGGCCCACTTCCTACCACAAGGAAAACCCATTCCACTTATCCCTCTACTAGTAATTATTGAGACTTTTTACTCAACCCATAGTGGCTGCAGCTCTACCACTAACAGCCAGTATTACAGCTGTCCATTCATGCATTTAATTGGTGGAGCCACATTAGCACAGTTGATTCTTGAGCAACATGAGCTTGAACTGTGCACGTCCACCTATATGTGGATTTCTTTCAATAAATATATTGGAAAATTGTTTGAGATTAGTTACAATTTGAAAAAACTCACAGATAAGCTGCATAGCCTAGAAATATTTTTTTAAAAATGTTTCAGTTAGTATATCATGAATGCATAAAATATATGTACTAGTCTATTTTATCATTTACTACCATAAAATATACACAGATTTATTATAAAATTTAAAATGTATGCACATAGACATTTATTATAAAGTACTAGTCTATTTTAAAGTACTACTATTTTAAAGTACTAGTCTATTATAAAGTACTACTCTATTTTATCATTTACTACCATAAAATATACACAGATTTATTATAAAATGTAAAACTCATGCACATAGAGATTATACATGGTGCCATTTGCAATTGAGAGAAATGCAAACAAATGTAAAGATACTGTATTAAATCATAACTGCATAAATTAACTGTAGTTCATACTGTACTACTGTAATAATTTTGTAGTCACCTATTCTTGCTATAGCAGAGAGCTCAGGCATTGTGAGTATTCACTTTTAATGCCATGTGACACTAATCAACTCTGCGTGAGACGTCTCTCCAGTAAATAAATGCATGTCATTGTAAAAAGTGATCTCTCGACTAGCCTCACCAACATGGAGAAACCCCGTCTCTACTAAAAATACAAAAAATATTAGCCGGGCATGGTGGTGCATGCCTGTAATCCCAGCTACTCAGGAGGCTGAGGCAGGAGAATCGCTTTAACCCGGGAGCCGGAGGTTGCAGTGAGCTGAGATCGCACCATCGCACTTCAGCCTGGCCAACAAGAGGGAAACTCCGTCTAAAAAAAAAAAAAAAAGTGATCTCTCGTGGTTCTTGTGTATTTTTCTTTCTTGTTTCTTTCTTTCTCTTTTCTTTGTTTCTTTCTTTTTTTTTTCTTTTTTGGGACACAGTCTAGTTCTGTTGCCCAGGCTGGAATGCAGTGGTGCGATCTCGGCCCCGTGTGATCTCGGCTCCACCCCCCAGGCCCAAGTACTTCTCCCACCTCAGCCTTGAGTAACTACAGGTGCATGCCACGCCTGGCTAAGTTTTGTATTTTTTGTGACATGAGGTTTCACCATGTTGCCCAGGCTGGTCTCAAACTCCAGAACTCAGGGATCCTCTCCTCCCAAAGTGCTGGGATTACAGGTGTGAGCCACTGCGCCCAGCCCTTGTATATTTTTCATTGAGCTTCGCAGTGTAAACCTTGAATAACACCATGGGACCTGTACGAAGTGCCACTAGTGATGCTAGAAGTGCTCCTAAGAAACAGAGAAAAATTATGACATTACAAGAATAAGTTGAGTTGCTTGATATGTACCATAGATTGAGGTTGCCCACCATTTCAAGATAAATGAATCCAGCATAAGGACTATTGTTAAAGAAAAGAAGAAAGAAAAATTCATGAAGCCATTGCTGAAACCACACCAGCAGGTGCAAAAACTTTGCACTTTTTGTAAAACATGAAATATTTGCTGACTGTTTATGTTATTGGTGGGGCTTCCAGTCAACAGTAGGCTATTAGTAGTTAAGTTGTAAGGGAGTCAAAAGTTATATATGGATTTTCCACTGCATGGGTAGGGGGTGGCAACCCTAACCTTCCATTGTTCAAGATTTAACTCTATTAACATTATCTTTGCAACAGCCTCAATTACATTTATCATCTTTATAAATGTAATTTTACTCACTCTTCTTGAATTTGCTGTAGCCCCAATTCAAGCTTATGATTCCACACTCCTGGATAGTCTTTACTATATGACCCAATAGTCCTACACTGACCATATAGTTAATCCTAGCTCCTGACCACGTACAGGAATATTATTAACTCTATTCATGACATCTTAGTAATATTATTTCACTTTAACTTGATTATTTTATTATGTGTAGGTCTACTAACTAATATATTAACCGTCTACCAGTGATGATGAGATAGCTGAGAAAGTGCACTGCAAGGCCTCCATACATTAATCATTCAAAAATGCCTCTAATACAGAATAATTTATCATATCACATGTTTTTTTCTGAGCCTTCTATCACTCAAGCCTAGCCCCGACCCCAGAACTGGGAGGTTGCTGACCACCAACAGGTATTCACCCACTTATTCTCCTAGAAGTTTAACTACTCAATACATCAGTCCTGTTAGCCTCAGGAGTATCAATCACCCAAGTACACCATAGCTTAATAGAAGAAATCCGCAAACATATACTTCAAGCTCTCTTCATCACAATTTCATCTGGCATTTCTTTTATATTATTACAAATCTTAGAACACTTCAAAACATCCTTTACCATCTGTGATGGTGTAAATGACTCAATATTCTTCATAGTAACAGGCTTCCAATGACTACATGTAATTATCAGCTCCAACTTCCTTATCCTTTTCTTCTTATGTCAACTTAACATTTAACCACCATTTTGGTTTTCAAAACCAAAGTTTTTAGGTAACCAAGTTACCTAATAATGATATTTTACAGATGTAATTACTATTTCTGTACATTTCTGTCTATTGATGAAGTTCCTATTCTTTTAGTATTAACTGTACAACTGACTTCCAATCAGTTAGCTTCAGTCTAAGCTGGAAAATAATAATTAACCTTACATTAACTTTAGCAACTAATACATCATTAGCACGACTACTTGTAATCATCACATTCTGCTTCCCACAACTAAACATCTATACAGAAAAATCAAGCTCATACAAATGTGGATTTGATCTAATAGGCACTGTCTGCCTGCCATTTCCAGAAAATTTTTTGTATTAACTATTACATTTCTATTCAACCTAGAAATTTCCCTCCTATTACTACTACCATGAGCATCTCAAGTAATCCAAAAGTTATTCTTACTATAGCTCTAATTTTAAACTGCATTCTAGACTTAGGCCTAAGCTTATGAATGAATCCAAGATGGACTAGAATGAGTGACTTAAGTATGGCAACAAGTTTAAATTACAACAAATAATTCTGACTCATATGGTAAGCATAATTACCAATATGCTTTCAATTTATATCAGTATCATTCTAGTTTACATCACATCCCTAACAGGACTACTAGTATAATGGGATCACACCTAATATCTCCATTACTATGTTTAAAACATATAATACTATCACTATTCTAGGAAGCCCTGTAATTTTAAATATATGCTTTTTCTTATCCACCATAATACCTATCATTTTACTAGTATCTGCAGCCTGTGAGGCTGCCATAGGCCTGGCATTACTAACAATGGTATCTAGTACATATGGCTCAGATTACATATAAAACTCAAATCTTCTCCAATGCTAGCAATTATTGTACCCACAATTATACTTATGCCAGTGACACGATATTCTAAAAATTCTAAAATTTGAATTCACACAACTATGCACTGCTTACTAATTAGTTTCATCAAATTATTCCTCTTAAGCCAATTTAGTAAAAATAACCTAAACTTTTCATTAGTTTTTTTCTCCAACTCACTATCAGCCTCCATTTCATTATACTAACAAATTGATTACTTCCCCTAATAATTATAGCAAGTTAACATCATCTCTCCAAAGAATCATATATATGAAAAAGCTACATATTTCAATATTAATCTTTCTACATTTATTCTTAATCATAACATTTACTGCCACAGAACTAAATCTATTTTACATTCTCTTTGAAGCAACACTAATTCCAACTCTAATTATTATTCTCTGATAAGGAAACAAAAGAGAATGATTAAATCCAGGGCTCTATTTCCTGTTCTACACACTAATTGGTTTTTTACCTCAACTCGTATCATTAATTTTTATCCAAAACTCCACATACTCATTACACTTTTTAATAACCTGTTACTGTGTTCAAACTCAGCTCTTGACATAATAGTCTTTTATGATTAGCATGCATTATAGCATTTATGGTCAAAATACCCCTTTATAGTTTCTATCTCTGACTAACAAAGTACACACAGAAACTCCAATTGCTGAATCCACAGTTTTTGCAGCCATAAAATTAGCAGGCTTTAATATAATACGAATTACTATAATTCCAAACCCACTAATGGAATATATAGCTTATCCATTTCATATAGTATCCCCGTGATGAATAATTATAACACACTCTATTTGTTTACACCAAATAGACTTAAAATCACTTATCACAGTCAGGCTTGGTGGCTCACGCCTGTAATCCCAGCACTTTGGGAAGCCGAAGTGGATGGATCACTTGAGGCCAGGAGTTCAAGACCAGCCTGGCCAACGTGGCAAAATCCCATCTCTACTAAAAATACAAAAATTAGCCAGGCATGGTAGCGCATGCCTGTAATCCCAGCTACTCAGGAGGCTGAGGCACAAGAATAGCTTGAAGCCAGGAGGCAGAGGTTGCAGGAAGCCAAGATCGTGCCATTTCATTCCAGCCTGGGAGACACAGCGAGACTCTGTCTCAATAAAAACAATCACTTATCACATATTCATCCATAAATCATATAGCACTAACATTTATAGCCATTTTCATCCAAGCTCAACGAATTTTTATAGGAGCCATAACCCTAATAATTGCCCATGCCCTCACCTCATCCATACTATTCTTCATCACAAACTCAAATTATGAATGAATTTATAGCTGAAATATGCTCTTCATTCAAGGACTGCAGACATTACTCCCTTTAATAACAACATGATGAGTATTAGCTAGCCTAACCAATCTAGCCCTACCACCAACCATCAACCTAATCAGAGAACTATGTGTAGTCACAGCACCATTTTCATGATTTAATTTTACCATTATTATTAATAGGACTTAATATATTAATTATAGCCTAATATTCCCTCTGCATATTAATTACAATGCAACAAGGAAAATTTACCAATCACATTAATAAATTAGCCATCACTCACATTAGAAAATGCTTTATACATCTACCTCTGCTACTCCTATCACTTAATGACAAAATTATTCTAGGACCTACATACTGTTTTTAAAAAAATTCAGATTATAAATAAAACAATAGAAGCTTAAAACTCTTTATTTACTGAGAAAGTATGCGATAACTGCTAATAATGCCCCCATATATTAATATAACAATATGGCTTTATCAACTTTTAAAGGATACAAGTAATCCATTGGTTTTAGGGACCAAAAAAATGATGCAACTTCAGGCCGGGTGCAGTGGCTTACGCCTGTAATCCCAGCACTTTGAGAGGCCGAAGAGGGCGGATCACGAGGTCAGGAGATCGAGACCATCCTGGCTAACACGGTGAAACCCCGTCTCTACTAAGAACACAAAAAATTAGCCAGGGGTGGTGGCGGGCGCCTGTAGTCCCAGCTACTCGAGAGGCTGAGGCAGAAGAATGGCGTGAACCCGGGAGGCGGAGCTTGCAGTGAGCCGAGATCACGCCATTGACTCCAGCCTGGGCGACAAAGCAAGACTCCACTTCAAAAAGAAAAAAAAAAAAAAGATGCAACTCCAAAAAAGTAGTAAGTGTTTGGCTCACATCTGTAATCCCAGCACTTTGAGAGCCCAAGGCAGGCAGATCACCTGAGGTTAGGAGTTTGAGAGCAGCCTGGCCAACATGGTGAAACCCTGTCTCTACTAAAAATACAAAAATTAGCAGGGTATGGTGGTGCACACCTGTAATTCCAGCTACTCTAGAGGCTGAGGCAGGAGAATTGCTTGAACCTGGGAGGCAGAAGTTATAGTGAGCCAAGTTCGCACCACTGCACACCAGCCTGGGTGACAGAGTGAGACTCTGTCTAAAAAATATAAATAATAAATAAATAAATAATAAAAATAAATAAAAGCAAAAAAAGAAAAAAGTAATATGTTTATTCTCTTCCTTTATCACCATTTCACTTATCTTAATTTTAGAAATTATCATAACTATTACCAACACATATAAAGATATTTCATACCCTCACTATGTAAAAACTTCTACATCATATGCTTTTATAACCAGTCTCATTCCAGCTCTAATATACATTTACTAGGCCAAGAAATAACCCAAGTAACTATTCAAACCTTAAAACTAACACTCAGCTTCAAGTTACATTATTTCTCAATAATATCTGTACCAGTGGCACTTTCTGTTACATGATCAATCATAGCATTTTCAATATGATACATAAATTTAAATTCAAACATTGATTTTTAAAATATTTACTTATATTTCTCATCCTTATACAAATTTCAGTTACTGCCAACAACCTCTGACAACTGGCAACTCTATTGGATGAGAAGGGGTGAGAATTATATCATTTTTACTTATCAAATGATGATACAGCAGAGGGGATGCAAGTATAGCATCCCTCCAAGCTATTTTATATATTGCATTGGAGATATCAGATTTCTATTATCAATAGCACAATTTTTACTATTCTAAGACACATGGGAGTTTCATCAAATTTTCATGCTCAACCCCAACCCTATATCTTTCCATTAATTGGGCTCCTTCTGGAAACAACTGGCTAATCTGTCCAATTTGGCCTTCATTTATGATTACCATCAACAATAGAAGGCCCAGCACCTGTCTCAGACCTACTCCATTCCAGCACAGAAGTTGTAGCAGGATTTTCCTATTAATCTGCTTTTCACCTACTCATAGAAAACAACAAAACAATTAAAACACTAACAATATGCTTAGGTGCTGTTAACACTTTATTCTCAGCAATTTGTGCCCTAACACAAAATGACATCAAAAAGGTCACATTTTCCACATCAAGCCAACTAGGTCACTATTGGTATTAATCAACCACATCTAGCATTTCTCCATATCTGTACACATGCATTCTTCAAAGCTATGCTGTTTATATGCTCCAGATCCATCATTCATAACCTTAATGATGACCAGGATATTAAAAAAATAGGAGGCCTCTTTAGAGCTACACTCTTCACCACTTTTTTGCTTATTACTGTAAGCCTCACATTTACATGTATGCCTTTTCTTACAGGCTTCTACCCCAAGGATTTAAATATCAAAATTGCTAACACATCATAACCTGAGCGCTTTTAATTACACTTATCGCCACCTCCCTAGCAACTGTCTATTGCATTTGAATTATTTCCTTTGCATACCTAGGACGACTTCACTTTTAAACTTTAATAAATATCAGTGAAAACAACCTCCTCCTAATTAATTCGCTAAATGTTTAACAACTGGTAGCATTTTCCCTGGATTTTTTATCTACAACTGTCTTAGTATTATCTCCCACTACTCATACAGGTTTTTCAAGCCATGATGCCAGCAAGATAGCTGACTAGAGATGCCTGGCACTTATCACTCCCACAGGAAAGGACCAATGCACTGAATAAACAACTAAGATTTGACTGGAATGTCAAAGGGACAGCACTGGCATGCAGCAGGGGAATGGAGACACACCTGCGGTGACTGGAAGTCCAGGAGGGCAGTGTGAAGGCAAACAGCCTCTGCTGCCCTGTCTCCTCTGTCTGGATCAGATCAGCCTGGACACAGGAGGGACTTCCCATTGTTGGGAAAAGGTTAGCAGAATATCCCCACCAGCCCCCATTGCCACCACAAATATCAACAATCCTTTCTACAGCAGAACCCCATAGTCCTCACAGGCCTTGAGTACAGTGTTAAGAGATGCTGGGAATTCACATAGCTGCATTGCCCTGGATTAGGAACGCAAGGTATGCTCCCCGCTGCCCCCAGATCCACCTCTGTGAGCCAAGCTGCTACAGCACAGTGCCATCTTGAAGCGCACCCTCCTCTGGGGGACAGTGGCCACTGCACCTCTCCAGCACTGGAGCGCCATCTTCATTACACCTCCAAACCCACATAGGTGACTGAACACTACACCCCAGTTGCACAGAGCCTGGGTCTAGTACTAGCTGTGACTATGGTCCTGCACAGCAGGGAAACCAACCCCAGCCACCATACTTCCAGCTGGAGGAACTGAAACTGCCACTCTCACCCAGGGTGAACCTGTCCTTAAGCTGGCCAAACTGCTGCATGCCCCCAAGCCGAAGAGACTCTTGAGCCTCAGAGCAGCTGATATATCCCTGGGCCAACAGGGTGGCTATGCACCCATGCTCAGGACCTGAGAAACAGCCCCGTAGCACCCCTGGCTTGCCCAATGGCCCTGTACCCCCAATAAGGGCCAGAGAAACCATCTTGCAGGCTGCCCCTGACAGGCATGTCCCCAGGCTGGGCAAGCAGCCAAGAGCCCATGTCCAGGACCTGAGAAACAGCTCCTCAGGCTACCTCCAGTGGCCATGCCCCTGAGCAGCTTTGCACCTGCATCCCAGACCTGTGAAATGGCCCTGTGGGCAGCCCCCAGCAGACACATCACCAGGCCAGCAAAGCAGCTGTGCCCCCACATCTCAGGCCCAAGAAACATCCCTACGGGCTGCCCCTGGCAGATAGGATTCCAGGCCAGCTGAACAGCTGTGTGCCCACATCTGACGCCTATGAAACAGCCCCACAAGTTGCTCTGGGCAGGAATACTCCCAGGTCAGACAAGCCACTGCATGCCACCCATTTAAGAAACAGCCCAGTGAGACCATCCCTGACAAAGTCACACCACCACCTCTACAGACTCTCTCAGCCTAGGCTACTGAGAAACTTGCAAATGCCACTAATATAGATTATAGCCGAAAAAACTATGTGAAGACTAAACTACTGGATCCACCTAGAACCGGGCCAATGTGCCCCGCCAATCTGATATCCCAAGATGTCATACAATATTCATACAAATATTTCCCTGGGAAATCTACTACATACGACTGAAAGAGGTGACTTTTCCATCAGATGCATAGAAATCAATGTAGGGACACATGAATCAGGAAAAAGCAAGGAAACGTCACCTTCAATAAAAACAATAATTCTCCAGTAACAGACCCCGATCATAAGGAAATACATGAAATGTCAGAAAAAAATTAAAAATAATGATCTTAAGGAAACTCAGCGAGATATAAGAGAATACAGACAGACAATTAAATCAGGAAAACAATTCATGATTTAAATGATAAATTCAACAAATAAATAGATATAAAAAGAACCAAACGGACATTCTAGAGCTGAAGAATTCAATGACTGAAATAAAATGTAAAATTGTGGGCCAGGTACGGTGGCTCACACCTGTAATCCCAGCACTTTGGGAGGCCAAGGTGAGTGGATCATTTGAGATCAGGAGTTCAAGACCATGCTGGCCAATAAGGCGAAACCCTGTCTCTAGTAAAAATACAAAAATTAGGCTTGGTGGCTCACATCTGTAATTCCAGCTACTCGGAGGCTGAGGCACGAGAACTCCTTGAACCCAGGAGGTGGAGGTTGCAGTGAGCCGAGATAGTACCACTGCACTCCAGCCTGGGCAACAGAGCAAGACTCTGTCTCAAATAATAATAATAATAATAATAATAATAATAATAATAATAATAATAACAACAACAACAACAATAATAATAATGAAATGTACAATAGAGACCAGGCCACGCAGAAGAAATAGTTTCTGAACTTAAAAGAAGGTCTATTGAAATAATACGGGCAGATGAAAAAGAATAGAATAAAGAAAGGCTACAGGACTTACGGGACACTGTTAAACAAACAAATTATCACATTATGAGAGTTCCAGAAGAAGAGAAGCTCCTATAATCACAAGAAACTGAATTCTTCAAACAACCTGAACAAACTTGGAAGAGGACCCCGCTAAATGAGAATGCGCTGACCAACACCTATATTTCAGCCTTGTGAAATCTCTCTTTTTTTTTTTTTGAGACAGAGTCTTGTTCTGTCGCCCAGGCTGGAGTGCAGTGGCATGATCTCAGCTCACTGCAACCTCTGCCTCCCAGGTTCCAACGATTCTCCTGCCTCAGGCTCCTGAGTAGCTGGGATTACAGGTGCCCGCCACCACGCCTGGCTAATTTTTGAATTTTTAGTAGAGACAAGTTTTCACCATGTTGGCCAGGTTGGTCTCAAACTCCTGACCTCATGATCGGCCCGCCTCGGCCTCCCAAAATGCTGGAATTACAGGCGTGAGCCACCACGCCCGGCCAGCCTCATGAATTCAATTACACTCTTCCCAGACTTCTGACCTACCGTAAGAAAATACATAGATATTGTTTTAAACAACTAAGTTTGTGATAATTTGTTATGCAGCAATAGGAAGAGAATACAACCAATGACTATTAGTAAACAAATGAAAATTGCAGCATATTCACCAAATGGAATGCCATGAAACAGCATAGATGAGTCTTAGAAACATAATGGTGGGTAATGTAAGCAAAATCAAATAATGCATTATTTAAGCATCCTACATATACGACTTTTTTAAAAAAATTAATTTTCAAAAGGCAAAAAATAAAATCAAAACTCATTGAAGTAGTTAACTTCTGGGAAACAGGCAGGAGGATGAGATAGGAGAGAAACTCATAAGTAGATACAAATTATCCATAATGTTTTAGGTTAGGTTAAGAACTGGTTGGTAGCATTATATTATTCTATACATAATTAGTATTATGGATTATTATTTTGGATCAAATATTATATTTAAAAGATAATATAGGCTGGGCTTGGTGGCTCACGCCTGTAATCCCAACACTTTGGAAGGTCAAGGCACGTGGATCATTTGAGGTCAGAAGTTCGAGACCAGCCTGACCAACATGGTGAAACCCCATCTCCACTAAAAGTACAAAAAAATTAGCCGGGCATGGTGGCACATGCCTGTAGTCCCAGCTACTCGGGAGGCTGAGGCAAGAGAATCTCTTGAACTCGGGAGGCAGAGGTTGCAGTGAGCCAAGATCACGCCACTGCACTCCCGCCTGGGTGACAGAGTGAGACTCCATCTCAAAAAAAAGGAAAGAAAAGGAAAAAAAAAAAGATAATATAAAACACCTACAACAGCCTCCTACTTTTCTTATAATAAAATTCAAATTATGGTCTATAAGGCTCTGAATAATCTGGTCTCCACCTATCTTGTCTCAAGCCACCTTCCCCCTTACTTTTTGGTCCATTTACAAATGGCTGCCATCTTTTTCTAGGCATAATCTCTTCTTATCTTAGAGCTTTCATACAAATTCATACAGTAATTCTCTACCCCTGGATCTTTGGTATGCTGACTCCTTTCCTTTAATGTTACCTCAAATATCTTCTCTAATAATTCTTTTTTTTTTTTTTTTTTGAGATGGAGTCTTGCACTGTCTCCCAGGCTGGAGTGCAGTGGCGCGATCTCGGCTCACTGAAACCTCCCCCTCTTGGGTTCAAGCGATTCTCCTCCCTCAGCCTCCCGAGTAGGTGGGACTACAGGCGCCCACCACCACGCCCGGCTAATTTTTTGTATTTTTAGTAGAGATGGGGTTTCACTGTGTTAACCAGGATGGTCTCAATCTCCTGACCTCGTGATCCACCCGCCTCAGCCTCCCAAAGTGCTGGGACTACAGGCGTGAGCCACCACGCCCGGCCCCTTCTCTAATAATTCTTTATTTATTTATTTATTTATTTATTTTTTTTATTGATCATTCTTGGGTGTTTCTCACAGAGGGGGATTTGGCAGGGTCATAGGACAATAGTGGAGGGAAGGTCAGCAGATAAACAAGTGAACAAAGGTCTCTGGTTTTCCTAGGCAGAGGACCCTGCAGCCTTCCGCAGCGTTTGTGTCCCTGGGTACTTGAGATTAGGGAGTGGTGATGACTCTTAACGAGCATGCTGCCTTCAAGCATCTGTTTAACAAAGCACATCTTGCACCGCCCTTAATCCATTTAACCCTGAGTGGACACAGCACATGTTTCAGAGAGCACAGGGTTGGGGGTAAGGTCACAGATCAACAGGATCCCAAGGCAGAAGAATTTTTCTTAGTACAGAACAAAATGAAAAGTCTCCCATGTCTACTTCTTTCTACACAGACACCGCAACCATCCGATTTCTCAATCTTTTCCCCACCTTTCCCCCCTTTCTATTCCACAAAGCCGCCATTGTCATCCTGGCCCGTTCTCAATGAGCTGTTGGGCACACCTCCCAGACGGGGTGGTGGCCGGGCAGAGGGGCTCCTCACCTCCCAGTAGGGGCGGCCGGGCAGAGGCGCCCCTCACCTCCCGGATGGGGCGGCTGGCCGGGCGGGGGGCTGACCCCCCACCTCCCTCCCGGACGGGGCGGCTGGCCGGGCGGGGGCTGACCCCCCACCTCCCTCCCGGACTGGGCGGCTGGCTGGGCAGAGGGGCTCCTCACTTCCCAGTAGGGGCGGCCGGGCAGAGGCGCCCCTCACCTCCCGGACGGGGCGGCTGGCCGGGCGGGGGGCTGACCCCCCCACCTCCCTCCCGGACTGGGCGGCTGGCCGGGCGGGGGGCTTGACCCCCCCACCTCCCTCCCGGACGGGGCGGCTGGCCGGGCGGGGGGCTGACCCCCTCACCTCCCTCCCGGACGGGGCGGCTGGCCGGGCGGGGGGCTGACCCCCCACCTCCCTCCCGGACGGGGCGGCTGGCCGGGCAGAGGGGCTCCTCACTTCCCAGTAGGGGCGGCCGGGCAGAGGCACCCCTCACCTCCTGGACGGGGAATAATTCTTATAAAAATCAGTCAACTCCTTTATTTTCTACCATCTTTTTGATACCTTTGTAGTTTATTTCTTAATTTATAATTTACTTGTTTTGCTTTTTTATGTCTCTACTCATTATACTCTAAGTTCTTTCAGAAAAGATACTATGATCTTTAAAATGATCACTGTAATTCTGAGCTAGGTTATTTCAGACCAATCATCTCACTGCACAACTGTAAAAGCTGGACAAAACACTGTCTAAATCGTGTTGGAAAGAATCAGTGAGTTATAAAGACAGCAAGGATTTGCACACCCAAGATTCCAGACAGAAAGGAAGTCCAGAGACATGGAGCCCATCATTTGGTGCCATTTTTCCTTCAAGGCATTTATGCCTTGAGATGGCCAAGAAGTTAAAAAGCTGAGCAGAGCTTTGAGATAGAAATACAACGATGTGAGAACAAAAACCAGAGTCCAGGGCTTGTTGGGATGAGAAGTCCTGGAAAACACCCGGTTGGGACCCCAAAAGAGAATGAGTGTCTCTTCAAATGTTATGACCTAAGTTACCTCATGTGCCTCACACTAGTCCCAGTCCTGACTCTAGGAGTAAGAATAAACCACAAAGAGACTAACCCCCCTCACAAGAACTAAAGCCCAGCTTCAAATCATTTCAATTTCAATCTTAATTGAATTAAAGTGATCTGGGATTGTTAGTGCTCCTAGCCCAGCTGGCTGCCAGATACAAATGTATACTTTCTCTGTAGGTATATGTAATTAAAATTAAGCTCCTCAAATTAGTTCTATAAATTTTCAAGTACAATGTCTGGCACTCAGTCAAAACAACTAAGCATGTGAGAATGTAAGAACTGACTGAAAACTAAGAGAAAAAAACCAATAATTTAAATAGACTCACAGAAGATCCAGATAATGAAATGGTCAGACTTGGATTTTAAAATAGCAATGATTGCTATAAACTGAAAGTGTACATACCCCAAAATTCATATGTTGAAATCCTAATCCCTTATGTGATGCTATTTGGAGGAAGGGCCTTTGGGAGGTAACTGGGTCATGAGGGTAGAGCCCTCATGAATGGGATTGGTACTCTTATGATAAGAGACATGAGAGAGATGATCTCCCTCCACAGTGTGAGGATATGGTAAATAGAAGGCCATTTGCAAACCAGGAAGAGGGCCCTCAGCAGGAATCAAATCAGTTGGCACCTTAATCTTGGATGTCCCAGCCTCCAGAACTGTAATAAATAAAAGTCTATTGTTCAAACCATTCAATCTATGGTATTTGTTATAGCAGCCTGAGCTGACCGAGACAATAATAAATATGTTCAAAGAATTAAAAGACAAGGCTGTGGATTGTGGCAGATAAATAGAAACTATAAAAATGAAGGGAAATTCCATAGTCGAGAAATAAAATAACTGAAATTAAGAATTCAATTGATTTAATGGCAGAATAGAAACAAGAAAGAGCCTGTGAACTAGAATATAAGTCAGAAGAAAATACCCAGACTGAAGCATAGCAAAAAAAAGGACAAGAAATACAGAAAGAAAAAAAAAAGCACGAGACCTACGAAATACACTGGTGAATGAGGAGACAGCAAGAATTATGCTTTATCCCTCATAAATGAGTTTTCACCTCAGCTAGGCACAATGAAATCCCAGCACTTTCGGAGGCTGAGACTGGAGGATCACTTGAGGCCAGGAGTTCGAGACCAGACTGGTCAACAGAGCAAGGCCTCGTCTCAAAAAAAAAAAAAAATTAGCCAGGTGTGGTGATGTGTGATGTGTCTGTAGTCCCTGCTTCTTGGGAGGCTGAGGCTGGAAGATTGCTTGAGCCCAAGAGTTTGGGGCTGCAGTGAGCATAATCGTGCCACTACACTCCAATCTGGGCCAAGCTGGGTGACAGAGTGAGACACTGTTTCAAAAAATAAAAATAAAGGGAGTTTTCACCTCTTTCTTTGGCATAACACTTTTTCAAACAAGATACCTAAATTGACAAGTAAAAATCAGAAATAATCTCTGAACCCATGAAACAACGGCACCATAATGAAAGTTTCTGAGCCTATAGCAAGCCTATGTCTCAAAGGGAGAAATTAATATATTATACAAATAACACCTAAGATGAAAATTTTGAGCTCTTTTGAATTTTTTTTTTTTTTTTTTTTTACCTTTCCCGGGGTTGTTGCTGAAGTTTTTCAAGTCGCACTACAGATGGCTGGTTGGAGGATTGCACAGCTGGAGTCCCAACAGTAACATTCAGGTCTGGGGATAAGAATGCTGGATATTCTACTGTCTGTGGTGTAATAACTTTTCTGCAAAATAATAATAAAGTGAAATATTGAAATTATACAAAAGTCCACTTCCAAAATCAGTGGCAGCTATCACTTTTGAACCCTTCTCTTTTACACTTTTAGCTCACCTAGCCACCTTGGGCCATCGAAGGCTAGAGCTAGGAAAAAAGCCAAGAGCCACAAATCTAGAGATAAGTGCTCTCTTGATTATCCTTACTACTAAACTTAGATCATAGGCAGCAGGGATGGAAAAGGACAGAAGGGCCTCAAGTTCTAATGAGAAGTACAAAGTATTTGAGCCCAGACCTCTCTCCAAATCTTTAGACCCAAATCTCTAACTCTTTTTTTAAATTTCTTTTTTTTTTTATTATTATACTTTAAGTTCTAGGGTATATGTGCACAATGTTCAGGTTTGTTACATATGTATACATGTGCCATGTTGTGTGCTGCACCCATTAACTCGTCATTTACATTAGGTATATCTCCTAATGCTCTCCCTCCCCCCTCCCCCCACCCCTCACAGGCCCCAGTGTGTGATGTTCCCCATTCTGTGTCCAAGTGTTCTCATTGTTCAATTCCCACCTATGAGTGACAACATGCAGTGTTTGGTTTTTTGTCCTTGCGATAGTTTGCTCAGAATGAAGGTTTCCAGCTTCACCCATGTCCCTGCAAAGGACATGAACTCATCCTTTTTTATGGCTGCATAGTATTCCATGGTGTATATGTGCCACATTTTCTTAATCCAGTCTATCATTGATGGACATTTGGGTTAGTTCCAAGTCTTGCTATTGTGAATAGTGCCGCAATAAACATACGTGTGCATGTGTCTTTACAGCAGCATGATTTATAATCCTTTGGGTATATACCCAGTATTGGGATGGCTGGGTCAAATGGTGTTTCTAGTTCTAGATCCCTGAGGAATCACCACACTGTCTTCCACAATGGTTGAACTAGTTTAATATTTTATTTTTAAAATCTATTAATTTTTTGGAATGTATTTTGTGCTAGGTGCAATGTTCATATGGCTATGTATATTACCTCATTCACTTTTCACAGCAAGCCCATCAGATGAGAATTATTAGATCCTATTTCATATATAAGAAAGCTAGTGTTAGAAAGATTAAACAACTCCTCCCAAGGTCTTACAGCTGGTAAGTGGCAAAGCTAACATTTGAACACAGTCTCTTTGACAATAAAGTTTAGATTCTTAAACTCTATTCTATACTATGCATAGTGGTAAGCACCTTAAACTCAACATGTCCAAAATAGAACTCACGATTTTCCCCTTCTCCAGATATGCTCTTTCTTAAGTGTTCCCTGGTTCAGGAAATAACAGCAACAAATGTATACCCAGTGGTCCCTAAATGTGAACATCTTTTTTCCTCCTTTCCCCTTCTGTCATCTTCCATCTCCAGTCACTTCCTAATTACAGGAGATATAGCTAAACATTCTAAATATTTTACGAATTAGTTTGTTCCTCTCTTCCATTATATTAGTCAGGGTTGTCCATAAAAAGAGAACCAATAGGATGTATATATACATAAATATATTTATGATAAGCAATTGGCTCATGTGATTATGGAGGCTGAGAAGTCCCAAGATCTGCAAAGTTAATCAGCAAGCTGGAGACCCAGGAGAGCCAAAGGTATAATTTTAGACTGAGTTCAAAGGCCTGAGAATCAGGAGAGCCAATAGTGTAGTTCCAGTCCAAAGGCTGGTAGGCTGGAGATCCAGAAGAGCTGATGTTTCAGTTTGAGTCCAAAGGCAGGGAAAAGTTAATGTCCCAGTTCAAAGATAGGCGGGAGGAATTCTCTCTTACCCCAGGGTGAGTCAATCTTTTTGTTTCATTCAACTTGTTGGATAAGGCCCACCCACACTAGGGAGAGCAACCTGCTTTACTCAGTGTGCCAGTTTAAAAGTGAATCTCATCATAAACACCCTCCTCTCAGAACAATTTTTGACCAATAGCTAGGTACCTTATGGCTGCCGCTAACACGTCATTAGATCTGTTGCATGATATGATCCAAATGGCAGAGCAGCTTGCATGGCAGCCTGGACCTGTTGCAGAGCCTTCTCTTGTTCTGGGCCCCACTCAAAACTGGCAGCTTTTTGAGTCATCCAGTAAATGGGCCAGAATAACACACCCAAAGGAGGAACAGATTACCTCCAAAATCCAAAGAGGCCCAGCTGTGGTTATTTCTCCAGGTGTTGTATCTCTTTTTTGTTGTAGGAGAAGCCAGATGCAACAACCCATCCTTCACTGTATACAGGATGTCACCACCCATACCATGGACCCCTAGAAATTTCACTGAGGTAGAAGGCCCTTGAATTTTTGTCATATTTATTTCCCACTCTCTGACACAAAAATGTCTTATCAGTAAGTCTAGAGTAGTTGCTACTTCTTGCTCACCAAGTCCAATCAGCATGTCATCAATAAAACGGACCAGTCTGCTATTTTGTGGAAGAAAAAGGCAATCAAGATCCCTGGGAACTAAATTGTAATGTAGGGCTAGAAAGCTGATATACCCCTAAGTTAGGACAGTGAAGGTGTATTGCTCACCTTGTCAGCCAAAAGCAAACTGCTCCTGATGGTCTTTATTAGCAGGTATGGAGAAATAAGCATTTGCCAGATCTGTAGCTGCACATCAGATACCAGGGGATATGTTAATTTGCTCAAACAATGAAACCACATCTAGTATAGCAGCTGCAATTGAAGTTGTCACTTGGCTAAGCTCACAAGAATCCACTGTGATTCTCTAATATCCATCTGTCTTCTTCACAGGCCAAATATGGGAGTTAAATGGAGATGTGGTAGGAATCGCCATTCCTGTGTTTTTCAGGTCCCTGATGGTGGCACTAATCTCTGCAATTCCTCCATGCAGTATTGCTTTCAGTTTACTACTTTCATAGATGGAGGGAGTTCTATGGCGTCTTCTTGGCCTTTCCCAAAATAAAAGCCTTCATTCCACAGATCAGGAAAGCAATGATTCTGCCAGTTACTGAGAATATCTATTCCAATTATGCATCCTAGAACCAGGGAAATAACCACTGGATATGTTCAGGGACCCACAGAGCCAACTGTGAGATGGACCTTAGCCAAAACTCTACTGATCAGTTGAGCTCCATAAATCCTTACTCATTGATGGATCACAGTGACATTCAGAGTCCTCTGGAATTAGTGTTAGTTCAGAGACAGTGTCTAGTAGTCCCCAAAAGCTCTGATTGTTCCCTTCTCCCCAGTGCACAAATACCACGGTAAAAGGCCATAGGTCCCTTTGGGGAAGGCTGGGAGAAATACTAACAGCATAAATTTTTGGAAGTATACTAGGGTCCTTCCTTGAAGGACCTCCCTTTCATTAAAGGAGTTCTGAGTCTGTAAAGTAGCTCAAGTCTGGGAATTGATTGAGAGGCCATGACTCTGTTTTTATGATGCAGGTTAGACTTTTGTTCCCTCGACCCAGAACTTTTCTGCTTATACAGATGAGGTTAGAATTTAGTAGGCTTCCTATCTACTCATGTCTAGGAACACATGATCAGACAGCCAACACCACAGGTTTATACTAGCAAGACTATTCTGATTGCTTCTTTGATTCTACTGTCCATTATGGTAACCATGCCCACCTTGCCTTTGGTAGTTGAGTATCTTCACTTGGTTCCTGCCACCCTGGGACCCAATTACTCCCATTGCATTTAAGTTTCCCAATTCAGTGACTGCAGGTGCCACTGTAAAGTCTGGCCCACAGGGAAGAGCAATCACAGAGCTCTCCAAGGATGCCAGGATACCCTTCACAAACTCATTTCTCATAGTCATGGTAAAACGTGTGTCTTCTGGACCCTCCCAGGATGGGTGAGTCAATCTTAAATGGCAAGTCCACTCTAACATAATTTCTCTGAGCCTCTAAAACCCTTCCTCTACATTAATCGAGCATTTCTAGCTAATTCACTGTGAGCCGTCTTTTGGTTCCTTTTTCAGTCATTCAAGTAAACAAGCTATGAGAGCCCTTTCTAACTCCCCAAGCTACAGCATTAAATGCAAAAATGTCTGCTTAGGCCAGCTGCAGTGGCTCACACCTGCAATCCCAGCACTTTCGGAGTCTGAAGTGGTGGATCACTTGAGCGCAGGAGTTCGAGACCAGCCTGGGCAACATGGCAAAACCCTGTCTCTACAAAAAATACAAAAATTAGCCAAACGTGGTAACAAATGCCTGTATTTCCAGCTACTTGGGAGGCTGAGGAGGGAGGATTGATTGAGCCTCAAGAGGTCAAGGCTGCAGTGAGCCATGATCTGTTGCCTAGGCAACAGAACAAGACCCTGTCTCCAAAAAAATAAATAAATAAAAATAATCTCTGTTTAGTAAGTCCATATCAATAAACTCAGCCTGATCCAACTTTATGTTCCTTCCACCATCATCCCCTGCCCTTAATATCCATCCCTATACATGTTCTCCAGATTTCTGTCTATATAAATTTAAAAACTCAAATAGTTCTTTTGGAGTATATATGGAGTACATTCCTGAGAACCCAAAGGAGTAAAATTTGCTCACATTTGAGAAGCATAAACCTACAATGATGATGATGGTAATGAAAAATATTTATTAATTTTATAAATAGGTAACAACTAATTAGGCATTTTGCTATTTGCTCCCATGTTCTAAGTACTTTACATGTAACTTATTTAATCATTATAGTAACTCAATTGGGTAGTTTTAATTTTTATCCCATTCAACAAATGAAGCATAAAGAGCCTAAGTAACTTGCCCAAGGTCATATAGGATGTGAGCCCATGCAGTCTGGCTCTAGGGCCTGAACTCTCAATCACCGTATCTTGCCCCTGCCAACTCCTCTAGCTCATCCCTCATTGCTCTCCTCCTTGCTCCATCTCTTAGCCACTCTCAACTAAAGACTGTTCTCTAACATAATAGAGTCTCTTATGGCTCCCTGCTTTTACTTCTGTGCTCTATCAAGAGAATGTGTCCCCTCACTCCTCCAAAATCAGCCAGATGCACTACTACCACTTTTACAAGTCTCACTCCAAGCACTTTCTTTTGTGGAGCCTTACTTGATCATTCTTTCCTCCCCAACTTCCCTGACAAGAATTAGAAGCTCCTTGGCATCCCACAGTTCTTTATGTTTGGCTCTTGAAGGGCTTTTATTCCATTGGCATCATCATAGTAATTATTTTTTATGTTATTTTGCATTAAACCACGAGCTACTCAAGGGCAAGGAGAAGGCCTCAGATGTCTTTGTATTTGCCATGACTTGGGGATATAGCAGACATTCAATAAATGTTTATTTAATAAATGTATGAAGAAGAAAGGTAAACATAAGAAAAAGTTCAGCTTTACTATTTCAACAAATCACCAATATCAAATAGATAAAGTATTTTAATGATAATATCCAGTGTTGGTGAGACTACGGGAAAATAAGCACTTCAGAGCACAATTTCCCGTTCAACACCTAATTCCCTCAATCCCATTTCAGCTTTTTTCCATTTCTTATTCTTGGATAACACCATAGATTAAATCTCTTTCTCAGGTGCTCATTTTTCTATAATCTATTTTTATTGTTGAAATTTCAAGATTGATTAGCATACTATATTTTAAGTTACTTTTGGTTTGCTAATGACATTTGTTTTACCATAGACTTTTTACAGATGATTTTGTAGCAATTGGAGTGGTGTAGAGGTAAGGGTAACATTACTATACCGCAGAGCAGAAAACTGATAACTATCAGACAGTCTTATGTTAAGTCTCTCACCTCTTTTCCCAAAAGGGGTATCTCCTTGGCCTGCTTTCCTTATTAAGCTACTCCTCCCTTCCCTCCTTCAGCCATGAACTTGGCACTCCTTCTCTTCTTTTATCTCCATACGTCCTCAACTCCTCTATCCAGGGCTATATCCAGAAATTCAAAATTTCTCCCTGTTATTAAGCAAAACAATTCACTACTCTCTTCACCTCAGAGTCTACCCCATCCTGGCCATGTCCTGGGGACTTCTTAAAATAACTCCACCAAAATGCTCCACCAAATGGATTAAAATTGTTTTAAGTGCCACATGATCTGACCATATTAACGAGACTTAAAACACTTACGTCACGGGATCTGTTCTTTCTGGAGGTGGTGCAAGATTCATAAACATGGATGGCTCAGTAATTTTCTGAAGAGGTTTTAACTGAAAAAAATGTAAGTGTATTTTAGCACTGTTTAGTTTCAATTAAAACTCACTAATTGTAATACCATACCATATTGATACCATAATGCTATGAATACCCCAGGACTATGAAATAGGCCTTAAATGAGACATGTAAGGAAATAAGGAATTAAGAGAGGAAAGAAGACACTAACATTTATTGGGTACTAAATATTTGCCAAGCATTTTATTATACTTTTAATCTTATTTAACCATCTCAATAAACCTATACGGTAAGTAACTAAGCATATTCTACAGATGATACTGAAGATCAGTAATTTGTTCAAGGCTACACAGTAGGCAAGAGTCAGGACTTGAATGTAGCTTTATCTGCCCCCAATGTAGTGCCCTGTTTACAGTATCACGATAGGTTAAGTAGGGGACAATATCACTGAAAAGTTCACAGACATAAAATCAAGTTTTTATTTTGAACTTTTATTATATATCCTATTCTTTTCCATACAATTCCTTTGTTCCTGGTTTTTAGTAGATTCCACCTACATAAAATAATACTTGCCCAGTTTTATCTGAAAAGAATATCTCTCCTTAAAAATGGCTATTACTATATATTATACTTGTGTTCAGACACAAAACCTACCTCCGGAGTTGGTGCTCATAAGCTATAACTGTCACAAAAGGAGTAAACAATTAGGGGTCCCTATAAGGCCTAATTACAATAAGAAATTTAAAAAATAACAGAAGAAAAAGTAAAAAATCAAAGCAGAGAAGGGAAAAAAAAAGCTTGTTCCTTGTGGCTTTCATCTGTATATTACTTCTGATTCAAAATGTATTAAACATCATTATAACATAATATAGGCACAATTTTAAAACATATTACAGAGATTTCTCAGTTAACACAGCGGTAGACTTGTTAAATAAGGCTGATGTCTTCACTCTCAATTCCTAATTTAAAAAGACCCAAAACTTTAGAAAGGAAAAACTGAAAGTGAAAAATGATATGCAAATAAAGGTCATTTCCCCTATATAACAGCAGCACTAAGAGGACTGCATTTTTGAATACCACAAAACTGGTGACACCCAGGAATATTAAGAGTTCTTTCAATATTTGATGAGAGTATATATTGGTACAACTTTTCTAGAATAATTCCTTGAAAAGGTCATTGTTTTGGACAAGAATTTCCTTTCTAGGAATCTGGCCTAAGGATATAATGAGAGAAAAGGATATAAGTTAGTACATAAAAGTATTTGTGGCAATGTGGACCTATGGTAGTGAATTTAAAGGAGGAAGTCAAAATTAGGAAGATATCTTCTTTGGGTTTATTAGTCTCTTGATGAATCAAGGAGAGTTCAAATAGCACCAGATGTTGAAATAACTGTGGAGGAAAGGACCATATGAGTACAAAATATTATCTGAATTAGATCAATTACTCCATTTTGTTTTCTCAGGGCAGGATCTCACTATATTGCCCAGGCTGACTCAAGTGATCCTCCGGCTTCAGCCTCCAGAGTAGCTAGGATTACAGGTGTGAGCCACCAGGCCAGGCAATTACTCAATTTTTAAAAACTATTTTTAGATGCAGAAATCCACACTGATTTCTTGAATACTTGTGTTTCAAATTACATCAACATGTATGTGTACACACAAATAAAAGCAAGTTTTATTTTATTTTTTTTTGAGACAGAGTCTCAGTCTATCGCCCAGGCTGGAGTGCTGTGGTGTGATCTTGGCTCACTACAACTCCCGCCTCCCAGGTTCAAGCGATTCTCCTGCCCCAGCCTCCCAAGTAGCTGGGATTACAGGCGCCTGCCACCATGCCTGGCTAATTTTTGTATTTTTAGTAGAGATGGGGTTTCACCATGTTGGCCAGGCTGGTCTCGAACTCCCAGCCTCAGGTGATTCACCCACCTCGGCCTCCCAAAGTGTTGGGATTATGGGTGTGAGCCACTACACCTAGCCTAAAATCAAGTTTTATAATAAAGACATTTTGAATAAAATATCATTGCTTTAAAATGTATAAACAAATCATAGTAAAGTCTCATCTTTCTTTAGGCTGAAGAGAAGCCCACATACCTCAAAGTCGGGAGGTAAAGAAGCATCTTTTAAAAATATTTATTTTAAACAATTGTTCAAACTGAAATAGAGCCTCAGAAGAGGACGATTTGACTGAAGAGTTACAACAGAATAATCTTTTAAAAGAGGGGAACTAACCTGATGTGAAAATCCATAACCAAAGTTTCCATAGGAGAACATAAATTCCACCTCCAGCCTGCAGACAAACTAAACATGTGATAAATTTTATTGTTTGATCAGGATGATATTTTAATGGAGAAGGGACAAAAAGTGATATTTTTACCTTACAAATCTGTAAGTTAGAAAAGCCAAAGTATGAATCTCCTGACTTTTAAAAAAGCGTTTACACAAGGAACTCCTACAGAAGAATTTATTGAGTTCCTGAAATGTTAAAACCCTTTATGTTAAAGTTAAGTAGTATTATACAATTAAAATATGGAAAATATCAACTTCTAATTGTTACTGGGATTACACTGAGATGCTGACATACATATATACACGTGATTCAAACATGTGTATGAATATACAAATATACATTCATGTATGTATATTTTTAATTATTTACTCACACTCCTCTCACCTCCAGTCCCAGTTTCAGATAAAATTTTGATTTAGACAAGTGATTTCACTTCTCTGAAACCCAGGTTGATAAAGGAGGGCATGAGAGGTAATAAAGTCAAGTGTCCATCTTTCTGTTTTTTATGTTCCTAGCCCCTGTTTTGGCCACTGGCAGCAAAAGCCTCTCTGAATAGAAAGATCAATTAATCCAACTACTAATTTTAAGCACTTAAAAAGAAATTAAATTAAGAACTGCAAACAACTCTTTAGAAACGCTCCAGAGAGAAAAATAATACTTCCTCAATTTAGCAAGTGAGGCTCCTGAGGCTATGCATGTCAAGGCAGCAGCCAGAGGCATTCTACTCTCTTACCCAATGATTTCTAATTTTCTTTATCACCATTTAGCAAAAAAAAAAAAAAAAAAGAAGAAGAAGAAGAAGAGGAGGAAGAGGAGGAGGAGAAGGAGGAGATTTTTGTTAGTTAATATTGTACTTTCTATTTCATACATTTCTACTATTTCAAACAGTGACTGGTATGGTAACTAAAAGAATAAAAACATGTAGGCTACAAATAATATCAGAGTAAAGTTACATGAAATGTTAAGAATATATTACATGCACATAAAACTTAGGAAGTTTCAGTAAAGTCCTTACTATGTTTCCATGCAACACTTGGACCTCTTCAATGAAGCACCCTTTCTAGAAAAAAAAATAAAAATTTTAAATATAGAATTACCCATGTATTTCCCTGTATATTATCGAAACCAAGGGTCCCCAACCCCTAGGCCATGGACTGGTGCTGGTCCATGGCCCATTAGGAACTGGGCTGCACAGCAGGAAATGAGTGGTGGGCAAGCGAGCAAAGCTTCATCTGTATTTACAGCCACTTCTCATCACTCACATTACCGCCTGAGCTTCACCTCCTGCCAGATCAGTGGGGGCATTAGATTCTCATCAGAGCACAAAACCTATTGTGAACTATGCATGCAAGGGATCTAGGTTGCATGCTCCTTATGAGAATCTAATGCCTGATTATCTGTCACTGCCTCCCATCGTCCCCAGATGGGACTGTCTAGTTGCAGGAAACCAAGCTCAGGGCTCCCACTGATTCTACGTTCTGATGAGTTGTATAATTATTTCATTATATATTACCATGTAATAATAATAGAAATAAAGTGCACAATAAATGTAATGCACTTGAACCATCTCGACCCACCCTCCCCATGCTGGTCTGTGGAAAAATTTGCTTCCACAAAACCAGTCCCTGGTGCCAAAAAGATTGGGGACCAATGACCTAAACCACAAATCAGGTAATAATTTTTCAAATGCACATATGAACCTAATAGCCAAAGTACAAACATAAGGAATGTTCAAAAGAAGAAAATAAAAATTCCAAGTTCAAGTAACAGAAATAAATGTATTTTTATTATGTTGTAGACAAAAATGTTCCTGCTAAGTTACAGTTCCCCTTTTTGAAAGTCTTAAAGGAACTGCCATGCCCACATTGTTTTTGAGGGTGTATCGAGCATCCTTGCCATAACTAACTCCATCTTAGAAAAAGACTCCATTTTATATTTCGTAGGGCACTTTGCCAACAAGGATAAGATGTTTTGTTTAAGGCATAAATAAAAAAATAAAGACTATGTTCAACCAGATAAGGACAGAAACAAGCATACTCTTCCACTGTTTTCAGCAGAGGACTCTGTGACTATAAAAGATTAGGCTTTCAGCAGCTCGAAACAGCCATCTTAACTGACACCATCTTACAGTCACTTGTGATAAGAACTTGACTTCTGCCACTGAAGGTTCTGCAACCTCAGACTCTTCCTTGCAAGACCAATGGACTGCCCAGCCCAGACCAGGGCTCCTTTTGTCTTCTTTGCTCCCCATAGGCCAGTTCGTTAACCTTTTCTCCTATTTCTTTTTCCTCTTGATATTAAATGTTACTTTGTTGTGGAATGTAATGTTTACATACTAAGTGTACTATTATGTATGTTTGCAATATTGACTGACTTGTGGAGTGGCTTGAGCCTGTGTGCCCACGGCACGCGGAGTGAACGGGAGGTACTTAAGGAGAACTGGCTCCTTGGGAACTCCATGTAGCTTGTGGCTTTTGTGATTGAAATAGCATTAATAAAAGCCTGACATTGTGGAAAGACACAAACATGCATGGGCCTGGTTACCTCTAACCTTGCACCCTCCTAAGAGAGGGGTTACTTAAACATAATTCTATATGATAAGCTGAGTCCCGATAGGACTGAGTACTTCTCGCATCTCTCAGGGATGGCTGGATCTTTTAAACCACGTTAACCTTTGGTATCCCTGCTCAATATCTATAGTCATCTCTGCTGTAATGAGTAGGTCCACAATTTTCCAGAAACTTTTTGAGTGCCAAAATGACACAGAAGTAAAAAAACTCCATACTTGGCCTATGTGACAGACAAGCCACAATCAATATACAATGAAGACTTTGTTTCATGCACAAAATTATTTAAAATATTGTATAAAATTACCACCAGCCTATGTATATAAGATGTATATGAAACATAAATGAACTTCATGTTTAGACTTGGGTCCCATCCTCAAGCTATCTCATTATGTATATGCAAATATTCCAACATCAAAAAAAAATTAGAAGTCCAAAATGCCTCTGGTCCCAGGCTTTTTCAGATAAGTGATATTTAACCCGTACAGACATTCTGGAAAATACTATGGGTGTTCCTCAAAAAATTAAAAATATCATTACTATATGATCCAGCAATCTCACTTCGAGTATACATTTAAAGGGATTGAAATCAGTATGTCAAAGAGATATCTGCACTCATGTCAGCACGATAGCCAAGATATGGAAGCAACCTAGTGTTCATCACCAAATGAACAGATGAATATGTGCTGTATATACATACATGCAATGGAATACTATGCAGCTTTAAAATAAAAGGAAATTCTGTCATTTGTGACATGGATAAAACTGGAGAATTTTATTCTAAGTGAAATAAGCCAGGCACAGAAAGACAAACACTGTATGATCTCACTTATCTGTGGAACCTAAAAAAGTCAATCTCATAGAAACAGTAGAAAGGTGGTTACCAGAGGCTGGGGAGTAGGGGTAGGAATGGAGAAAGGGAAGATGTGTATAAAGTTAGACTGGAGGAGCAGGTTCTAGTGATCTCCTGCACTGCCTGGTTAATAGTAACGTATTGTATATTTCAAAACTGCTGAATAAAATAGATTTTCATCATCCTCATTATAAAAAAAGATAAGTTGGTGAGGTGATGGAAATATTAATTGGTTTGATTGAATCTTTTTCAGTGTATACATAGATCAAAACATCACATTGTACCCCATAAATATATACTGTATTTATCAAGTAAAAATAAATGATCAGCTAAAAAATTAATTTATGGGCAAACAGAGGAATACACCCATATGGAATTGTATGCAGCAGCAAAAAATTAACACTAGCTAAGTGTATTAATATTAGAAACATACTACATTTAGAAATATAATATTTCTATAATCATACATAAGTAGTAAAGCTATGAAAAATAAGGGAATAATAAATACAAAGTTTTGGATAATCATTTTTTCTTGAGGGAGAGGGAGGAGACAGAAGATGGCATCAAGCAGCAACATAAAGACTTGAACTCTATTTTTATTATAATAAAACAGAGAAAATGCAAAAACCTTGCATTATAAAAGTCCTTTAGACCTCATCTTCTCCCTATGCTATATGCTGTGGTTGTCATATGCATTACCTCTCCAAACATTATAAACCGCACAGATCATGTTATAATTTTTACTTTAAATAGTCACACAAATTTTAACGGAAGTAATAAGAAAACCTCTAGCACCTCCATTCTGCTGTTGAGCCCATTCAGCAAATTTTTAATTTCAGATATTTTACTTTTCAGTTCCAGAATATGTATTTGGGTCTTTTTATATTTTCTATTTTTCTGTTTATGTTTATAAGAATGAATTGGAAAGAAACTCTGAACAATGAAATGTTATATTAGAATTGTGGAATGATGGGTGATTTCTGAATTTTAAAAAATTTACCTTTGTATTTTAAAATATTAGCATATTATTCATGATCTTATAAAAATAAATATTGAAAAGTTTGCATATATGCTTCTAGTCTAAGTATCTAAGCTTCTACATTTTCTTCAACAAAAATTAACTAATAAGTAATGTCACATTTTTTGATGCCTAAATTGCCATACAGTCAAAGGAACTTTAGTCATTTCCAAAGATCTTCTCCCAAAATATTTTTGAGAATCTCTGGTTGCTTACACTTATTCATTACTCCATATGTTTATCCTTCTTCATCTCTTTCTATGTATTAGAAATTTATCTGATTTAACAGTATGCCATTTTTTAAAATCTCTGTGTGTGTATAGATATGTTTGCTGATCTATTTATAAGTTGCAATCATCATTACTCTTCACTCCCAATGTTTACCTTGGATACTGTAAAAATAAGAAAATTCATACATATATATCCACAATATCAGTATTATACCCAAGAAAATTAACAATTCTAGAATTTTTTCTAATATTCAGTAAATATTTATTAAATTTTCCTAATTGTCCCAAGAATGTCTTTTATTTATGTTTATGTTTTATTTTTTGAGACAGGGTCTCACTCTGTTGCCCAGGCTGGGGTGCAGTGGTGCAATCATGGCTCACTGCAGCCTCGACCTCACTGGGCTCAGGTGATTTTCCTGCCTCAGCCCCCCATGCAGCTGGTACTACAGGCAGGTGTCACCATGCCTGGCTAATTTTTTGTGGGTGTTTTTTTGTGGGTTTTGTTTTTGTTTTGCTGTTTTGTTTTGTTTTTAGAGAAAGGGTTTCACCATGTTCCCCAGGCTGGTCTCAAACTCCTGGGCTAAAGCAATCCACCTCCCTCAGCCTCCCAAAGTCCTGGAATTACAGGTGTGAACCACCAAGCCTGGCTCCCAAGAGTCTTTTACAACTTTTTCGAATCTGTATTCAGTCAAATGTGTTGTATCTCTTTAAATCTAGAATAGTTCCTTCCATCTTTGGTGCGTTTTGGTTTTTTTTTTAATGACCAAAGCTATTTAAAGAATCTACACTGGTATGTCCCATTTCTGTACTTATCTTAAGGTATTGTTTAACATTTTCCCCTACTCACTAAATTCCCGTAAACTTGAAGTTAGTTCTACACTCAGCTTGATTAGATTTGGGTTACACTTCTTTCTTTTTCTTTTTTTTTTTTTTTTGAGACAGGGTCTTGCTCTGTCACCCAGGCTGGAGTGCAGTAGCACGATCATAGCTCACTGCAGTCTCGAACTCCTGGGCTCAATCGACCCTTCTGCCTCAACCTCCCAAGTCACTTGGACTACAGGCACATGCCACCACACCTGGCTAATTCTATGTGTGTAGAGACAGGGTCTTGCTATGTTGCCAGACTGGTCTCCAACTACTGGCCTCAACAACTCTCCCACCTTAGTCTCCTAAAGTGCTAGGATTACAGGCCTGAGCCACTGCACCCAGCCAGGTTAAACATTTTTGATGACGATAAGTCATAGATAATACTGTGTACTTCACATTGTATCACTACAGGAAGTACATGATGTTAAGTTATCCACAATTCATTATGCTAAATTCGAGCTCTTGGTTAAAGTGGCAACTACCACATCTGTCTATTGTAGAGTAACATTTCCCCTGCGCTGTTACTACGGCACCATGCAAATATCTTGCTTCCCAATAAACTTTTACCTAATGGTTTTTAGTGCCATTGCTAAATATTGACTGAATTAATCATTATTCATTACAAAGAGTTGCAAAAACAATAATTTGTAATTCTTTCATTACTTCTACATTCATAAACTGGTATTCTTTTGTTTTAAAATTTTCCTTTTTCTTCCTATGCCACATCTTTTCTTCTCTTTTTTGAAGATCACCAAGGAGTCACGAATTTTCCTTTATTCAGAATGTTGCAATAATCTATGTTCAAGTTATTCTGAAGTTGGGCAATAGGAGTCCCTGCAATCTGGCTGTTGACATAACCCCATTAGTCTTTGAAGACTTCCTTGCTGTATGTAACAAAAAACATTCCTGAAAATACTTTAGATTGTTTATACTTATTCACCAATCAGTAAGTTCTTGACTCTGAGTTCAACACAACCACAAAATGAGCTGCCGGAAAGTGAAAAGGACTCCTAGAAAGGAGAAAACAAGAGGGAAGCAACCATAAAATCTGTATATAAACTCTGCCCAAATCTTTGGCTAACCTCTAAAAGACACATGCACAAGGAAGTCTGTAAGCAGCCCAGCTAAGGATGAAAGAACTAAACCAAAATTTGTATTGCCAACTAAGAGACAGAGTTTGCAGCTTCAGTCATGTCTTAAGACATTTCAGAAACATAATAAAACATGTTTAACTTTATTTAGCCATTCTACAATGTATACATATTTCAAAACATCATTCTGTACACGATAAATATATGCAACTTTTATTTGCAAATTTAAATAGCCAGGCACAGTGGCTCAGGCCTGTAATCCCAACACTTTGGGAGGCTGAGGCGGGCAGATTATTTGAACTCAGGAGTACGAGACCAGCCTGGGCAACACAGCAAAACCCTGTCTCTACTAAAAACACAAAAAGCAGTCTGGTGCAGTGGCATGTACCTGTAGTCCCAGATAGTGGGGAGGCTGAGGCAGGAGAATCCCTTGAGCCAGGGAGGCAAATGTTGCAGTGGGCCAAGAAAATTTATTTTCCAGAAAGTTAGTTAGTGATACAACCTAAAAGTGTAAGTGTGGGTTTTTTGGTTACTTAATTTCATATATATATATATATATATATGTATACACACACACATTCCGGAATATATATATATATATATATATATATATATATATATATATATATATAAAATATTCTGGAAAAAAATGTGTGTATATATATATATATATATATATATATATATATATATATATATATACACATACATATTCTGGAAAATATTTTTTTTCCAGACGGAGTATTGCTCTTGTTGCCCAGGCTGGAGTGCAATGGTGCAATCTTGGCTCACCACAACCTCCACCTCCCAGGTTCAAGCAATTCTCCTGCCTCAGCCTCCCAGGTAGCTGGGATTACAGGCATGGGCCACCATGTCCAGCTAATTTTGTATTTTTAGTAGAGATGGGGTTTCTCCATGTTGGTCAGGCTGGTCTCGAACTCCCGACCTCAGTTGATCTGCCCACCTCGGCCTCCCAAAGTGCTGGGATTACAGGCTGGAAAATAAATTTTTAGAAACATTATGCTATTATAAGCCAACTCTTTTAAAAAATATATAGCCAAAAGGAGATTTTATTTCTTAAACACATGAATTTGAAGGCAGATAATAAACAAAAAAAGCCCATCAAGTATAATAAATCACAACAAACTGGACAACCAACTGGCAACGTGATACCAAGGTGAAAAAAATCATTTTATACATACCTGAATTACCTCATAAAGATGTATCTGAACACTCCCTAACAAGAAAGCACGTTTTTCTCTATTGTCATATTGTATGAGTTCCAATAAAATATTATTCCGCTTATCATCATAACGTCTGGGAACCTCAATATCAAAATATATAAGAAAAGAAGCATTAAATTTGAGCCTAAATATTTCTGAACACATACATCCAATATACTATTACTATATTATGCAAATATTATTATGCAAATACTATTGCATACTATATTATGCAAATAAATATTATTTGCATACCTAGTGATACGTTTTTGTATGTCATTAGCTTTATAACTTTCAACCTCACAGTCACATATATACTAATATCAACAAAATGAAGATCTTGCTTATATCTAACGGCAATTATCATCTTTTGGAAACACCCATTACCTACATTCTCTTTTTAACACTACACAAAAGTTCACCCTCAATACTCTATTGAAACTACACTATCAAAGATAATCAACTACCCAATACGAAATCCAAATAATCCAGATAATCCAAATACAGGTTATCCAAATATCCAACACTAAAAAATATCTAATATCCTTTTCAGTCTCTGTTCTTTAACTTTTTGACAAAATATATACCATTGCCTGAACTTGAAACTCTCTCCCAACCCTGAGCTCTGGAGCACAGTACCATTATTATGTAATCTTTAATATCTGTACACTATTGCTAATTAGAAAAAAAGTCATGCCTCCCCACTCCTAAGAATCCAGGTGCCTTCCTGCAGTGTTTCTCCTGATGGTTGAAATCAGAGCCGATATCAGCCTTCTTAAAGTTATGCTAGTGACTGTCTTCCCCCAAGAAATGAGAAAAAGGAATGCAAGCCCTGTGTGCCAGCAGACTAGTTAAGAGGGCAGGCTCCATTTTTCAACAATTTGGCATCTTGATTATTGGAAACAGTAGAAAACTACAAATGCTCAATAAAATATTTAAAATACCATTTTAAAAGCAAAACAGGGTTAATAAAATGGTGAGAAGTAATCATATAAAACTCCAAGTATTGACAGACACTCAGAGAAGTAAACTAGACCCTGAAGTTACATTTGCCCTCAGGGCACTTCCCAATCAGGTGACCTAAAACTGCAGTTCATATGGTCTTGAAAGGCAAAGAACAGAGAAGACAAGACATGATACATTTAACAGAGGGTCCTTCCCCAACCATCCTCCCAGAAAGCTGAGAACCCAAAGGGCTACGGCTTCAGTGAATGGAGAACCCCTTCTCCCATCACATCTACAGAAGGCTGCAAGGAAAGTTGTACTGCTGAGTAGAACGGAGTGTTGGGTCCCTAATAAGCTATAAACAAAAACCGGTTCAGTGAAATTGCAGCCTAAAGTCACAGTCACTGAATCTTATAAAAAATTTCGAGCCAGATACTTAAAATGGTTTACATGGTAAACATTATATTATGTATATTTTGTCATAACATAAACAAATAAACAGGACGACTTATATTTTTTAAAATATCTCAAGTGGAATTTAGTTGAAAATGGTCCCAAACTGGTAGTGGGCTCGGTTGCCTTAGAAGAAACACAAATCTTGCGTAGAGCTCCTACTTTCATCCTAGACCTCAAAGAAGTTCCACAAATAATTTTCCAAGGAAAATGAGCAGTTAACAGTCAAAAATAACTCAGTCAGCATGGAAACAAAGCGCCACAAATGAGAAGAGCAAAAATAGACCCCCAAAACACCTTAAATATTGGAATTTTAAAGAGCTATGTTTACTATGTTTAAAGGAACAAAAACCAAACTGAAAATATACTCCTGGCACAGGAAACTTTAAAAATGATTTAACAAACCTAAACAAGGAACAACTTGTAGAAAAGAAAACTAAAACAATTGAATAAAAACACTATATCAACTCAACCACAAATCTGATGCAGCTTTGGAGAATTAACGAACTAGAATTAAGGAATCCCAGCACTTTGGGAGGCCAAGGTGGGTGAATTGCTTCAGCCCAGGAGTTTGATACTAGCCTCGGCAACATGGCAAAATCCCATCTCTACAAAAAAATACAAAAAGTAGCCAAGCATGGTAGTGCACGTCTTTAGTCCCAGCTACTCAAGAGGCTGAGATAGGAGGATCACTTGAGCTCAGAAGGTTGAGTCTGCAGTGAGCCGTGATCGCGCCACTGCACTCCAGTGTGGGTGACAGAGGGAGACCCTGTCTCAATAAAACTAATAGTAATAAAATAAAATAAAGATCAGAAGAATTACTTGGAATGCTGGGCAGAGAGACAAAGTGATGAAAAATATTTTTTATAGGTTAAAAGACATGGAAGATAGTGTAAGAATACCTAACGTAAGTTAACCAGAGTCCAAGGAAAGGAAATAAAGGATTAAGAAAATGGAGCAGAGAAGCACTATTTTAAGAAATAATAGCTAGCCAGGCATGGTGGCTCATGCCTGTAATCCCAGCACTTTGGGAGGCCGAGGTGGGTGAATCACAAGGTCAGGAGTTCGAGACCAGCCTGACCAACATGGTGAAACCCCATCTTTACTAAAAATACAAAATTTAGCCGGGCATGGTGTCGCACGCCTGTAATCCCAGCTACTCAGGAGGCTGAGGCAGGAGAATCGCTTGAACCCGGGAGGCAGAGGTTGCAGTCAGCCAAGATCGTGCCACTGCACTCCAGCCTGGGTGACAGAGCAAGACTCTGTCTCAAAAAAAAAGAAAGAAAGAAAGAAAGAAATATTAGCTAATAATTTTTCATAACTAATGAACATCATCAATCCAGGTTAAGCAGCCAATAAATCCCAACATAATATACAGAAACCCAAATACAAACACATCAGAGTGAAATTAGAAGAAAAAAATATATAACACACACAGAAAGAGGAAGATACATTATTTTCAAAGGTGACAGACTGACAAGTGACTTCTCTTCAACAAATATGGAAGCTAAGAGATAGTGAAATACTTCAGAAAATAACTGCAAATTTACAATTCTATACTCAAAAAAAATTTCATTCAAAAATGAGAATGACATAAAGACCTGCAAACTAACAAAAGAACAGAAAACCAAACACCGCATGTTCTCACTCATAAGTGGGAGTTGAACAATGAGAACACATGGACACAGGGGAGGGGAACATCACACACCAGGGCCTGTCGAGGGGTGGGGGGATAAGGGAGGGATAACCTTAGGAGAAATACCTAATGTAGATGACGGTATGATGGGTGCAGCAAACCACCATGGCACGTGTATACCTATGTAACAAACCTGCACGTTCTGCACATGTATCCCAGAACTTAAAGTATTAAAAAAAAAATTCCCTACAGAACAAGAAAAAAAAAAAAAAAGACCAGGCAAACAAAATCATTATGTCACCAACTAACTCTCATAGGAAAAATAATTTTAAATAAATAGTTCTGACAGAAGGTAACTGACCCCAGGAGGATGATCTGAGCTGTAAGAAAAGTTAAAGTGGCAAATATGTAGGTAAACTAAACAAATATAGACTATATTAAATAAATACAAATTACAACTCAAGGGAATTAAAAATACAAAAAAAAGAGACAATAATAACATATTAGTTGAGGGTGATAAATGGAATTAAAGTTTCTAAGATCCTTGCTCTTCCCAGGAGAAGGATGAAAGATGAGGATATTGTTAAACATTGGATTTGATAAGCATACATAATTTCTATGATAGCCATTTTTAAAAAGAGTAGTGTATAATCTCCAAAACAAGAAAGAAGAAAAATGGAATGAAATTGTAAAATACAGTTGACCCTTGAACAACATGGTTTGAGCTGCATGCGTCCACTTACACATGGTTTTTCAATAAAAGTTAGACCCAATGTGCCTGCCTCTCCTGCCTCTCCTTCTACCTCCTCCACCTCTTCCTCCTCCGCCACCCTTGAGACAGCAAGACCAACCTCTCTTCTTTCTCAGCCTGCTCAATGTGAAAACGACAAGAATGAAGACCTTTATGATGATCCTCTTCCACTTAATGAACAGTAAATACGCTTTCTCTTCCCTATGATTTTTTTAACGTTTTCTTTTCTCTAGTTGCGTTATTGTAAGAATACAGTATATAATACATAACATACAAAATATGTGTCGATCAACTGTTTATGTTATTGGTAAAAATTCTAGTCAACAGTAGACTATTAGTAGTCTACTGACTGGGGAAGTCAGTTTTGACTGCAGAGGGGGGTCAGTGCCTCAGTGCCTGTGTTGTCCAAGCATCAACCGTACTCAATCCCAGAGATGAAGAAAAGAAGACAAAAGAGGAAAGAAGAAAAAAATAATCCATGGTTCAATTGGGATAAATAGAAAGCACAAAAGAAGGTAATAGATTTAAACTCAAATATATTATAATTATATAAAATGTAACAGATGCTACAGTAACGTTACATACATTAACATTACATATATTAACTACTACACTAACAGATGTAGATAAAATAAAAAGACTGTCAGACTGGATATTTTAAATCTATATTCAGTTTACAAAAGATACAGATAAAACATAATGTAATTTATATTTTTCTAATATAATATTCTATTTCATCAATATTTTCAAATTTTTAGCATAGAGTTATATATGGTATTCTCTTACAGTTTTTAACTGCCTTCATATTTATACCTATATTCCAAATTTTGCATAATTTTCTTAATGAGACTTACCAGAATTGTGCCTACTGTGTTACTTTTATTACTAATTAGCTTTTGTATTGTTACATTTCTTTAACATCTATACTGTTGTAAATACCTCATTTATTTCTTTTGTTACTAATTTCTTCCTCTTGATTTCCTAAAGTTTTACTGTCATTTTCTAAGTTCTCAAATTTAATGCTAATTTAGTTTCCACACTCATCTTCCTCCCTCCTTCCCCCCTTCTCCCTGGCTCCCTCCCTCTCTTTCTCCTTTCTTCCTTCCTAATACAATTTTGTTTAACTTTTAGTGGTTGCTGTAGGGATTATAATATGGATCTTTCACATATCACAATGTATCTTGAATTAAAATTAAACCACCATGTCCAATAGCATAATTCTATTTACACCTCCTCATTCTCTGTGCTATTCTGGCCATGTATTGCACTTCTACATATGCTACAATTCCTATCATTCATTGACATTATTGTGTTTTTAAATAATAAAACTCAATTGTCTTTTGGATAAATTTTTTTAATAGTCTTGTATTTTTACCCACTCATTTACCATTTCTAGTGCTCTTCCTTCCTGTATATCTGGGCTTCTATCTGGGATCATTTGTCTTCAACCTGAAGCTTTCTTTGATATTTATTACAATGCAGGTCTTCTAGATACAAATTCTCTCAGCTTTTGTCTTTCACCATCTTTTTGAAGTATATTCTCACTGAATATAGAAATCTAGGCTGAATTTCCCCGCCTCCCAGCATTCTAAAGCTGGCATTCTCTTGTCCTCCGATTTACATTGTTTCTGATGGAGAGTCAGCTGATATTCTTATTGTTGTGCATCTGAATGTAATGTGTTTTTCCCTCCTCTGGCTGCCTTTAAGATTTTCTCATTATCTTTTGTTTTCAGCAGTTTGAATGGGACGTACATATGTGTGATCATTTCTGTACTTACTCACTTAAGGTTCACTGAGTTTCTTGAATCTATGGATGGATTTTTAATCAATTTGGGGAAGACTTAGGTCATTAGTTCTTTAAATATTTCCTCTTCTGGATTCAAATAAAGACAACCAGAAACGACAAGGGGGATATTGCCACTGACCCCACAAAAATACAAACAACCATTAGAGAATATTATGAACACCACTATGCAAATAAACTAGAAAATCTCCAAGAAATGGATAAATTCATGGTCACATATACCCTCCCAAGACTGAACCAGGAAGAAACTGAATCCCTGAATAGACCAATAACAAGCTCTGAAATTGAAGCAATAATAAATAGCCTACCAACCAGAAAAAGCCCAAGACCAGATGAATTCATAGCTGAATTCTACCAGATGTACAAAGAAGAGCTAGTACCATTCCTACTGAAACTATTCCCCAAAATTGAGCAGAAGGGACGCCTCCCTAACTCATTCTATGAGGCCAGCATCACCCTGATGAAAACTTGGCAGAGATTCAACAAAAAAGAAAACTTTAGGCCAATATCCTTGATGAACATTGATGCAAAAATCCTCAACAAAATACTGGCAAACTGAATTTAGCAGCAGATCAAAAAGCTTGCCCACCACTGTCAAGTAGGCTTTATCCTTGGGATGCAAGGTTGGTTTGACGTATACAAATCAATAAATGTGATCAATCGCATAAACAGAACTAAAGACAAAACCCACATGATTATCTCAATAGATGCAGATAATGCAGCTATTGAATAAAATTCAATACCATTCATGTCAAACACTCTCAATAAACTAGGTATTGAAGGACCATACCTCAGAATAATAAGAAAGATATTATTATTCTGAGGTATGGTCCTTCAATACCTAGTTGAAACCCACAGCCAACATCACACTGAATGGGCAATGGTTCCCTACTCTTTTTTTTTTTTTAACAAACCTCAACTTTATTCAGCTGATGTGCTTCAAAAACAATGGATGTAAATCCAAACCAATTCCCTATTCCCCTTAAAAACTGGCACAAGACAAGGATGCCCTCTCTCACCACTCCTAGTCAACATAGCATTGGAAATCCTGGCCAGGGCAATCAGGCAAGTAAAAGAAATAAAAGGTATCCCAATAGGAACAGAGGAAGTCAAACTATCCGTTTGCAGATGACATAATCCTACATCTACAAAACCCCATAGTCTCACCCCAAAAGCTTCTAAAACTGATAAACAACTTCAGCAAAGTCCTAGGATACAAAATCAATGTGCAAAAATCACTAGCATTCCTATACACCAACAACAAGCCAAGAACTGAATCAGGAATGAACTCCCATTCACAACTGCTATAAAAAGAATAAAATACCTAGGAGTACAGCTAACTAGAGAGGTGAAAGATCTCTACAAGGAGAACTACAAACCACTGCTCAAAGAAGTCAGGGATGACACAACAAATGGTAGAACATTCCATGCTCATGCATAGAAAGAATCAATATCATTAAAATGGCCATTACTGCCCAAATAAATTTATAGATTCAATGCTATTCTTATTAAACCCCCATTGAGATTCTTCAAAGAACTAGAGAAAACTACTTTAAAATTCATATAGAACCAAAAAAGAGCCCAAATAACCAAAGCAATCCTAAGCAAAAATAACAAAGCTAGAGGCATCACACTACCCAACTTCAAACTATACTACAGGGCTACGTAACCAAAACAGCATGGTACTGGTACAAAAACAGACACATAGACCAAAGGAACAGAACAGAGAACCCAGAAATAAGACCACACACCTACAACTATCTGATCTTTGACAAACCTGACAAAAACAACCAATAGGGAAAGGATTCCCTATTCAATAAATGGTGCTGGGATAACTGGCGAGCCATATGCAGAAGATTGAAACTGGACCTCTACCTTATACCATATACAAAAATTCACTCAAGATTGATTAAATATTTAAATGTAAAACCCAAAACTATAATATAAAAACCCAGGAAGACAACCTAAGCAATACCATTCAGGACATAGGCAGGGACAAAGATTTCATCATGAAGACACCAAAAGCAATCTCAACAAAAGCAAAAATTGACAAATGGGATCTAATTAAACTAAAGAGCTTCTGCACAGCAAAATAATCAACAGAGTAAACAGACAACCTAAAGAATGGGGGAAAATTTTTGCAAACTATGCATCTAACAAAGGTCTAATATCCAGCATCTATATGGAACTTAAACAAATTTACAAGAAAAAAACAAACAACCCCATTAAAAAGCAGACAAAGGACATAAACGGATACTTTTCTTTTTATTTATTTATTTATTTATTTATTATTATTATACTTTAAGTTTTGGGGTACATGTGCACAATGTGCAGGTTAGTTACATATGTATACATGTGCCATGCTGGTGCACTGCACCCAATAACTCATCCTCTAGCATTAGGTATATCTCCCAATGCTATCCCTCCCTCCTCCCCCCACCCCACAACAGTCCCCAGAGTGTGATGTTCCCCTTCCTGTGTCCATGTGTTCTCATTGTTCAATTCCCACCTATGAGTGAGAATATGTGGCGTTTGGTTTTTTGTTCTTGCGATAGTTTACTGAGAATGATGATTTCCAATTTCATCCATGTCCCTACAAAGGACATGAACTCATCATTTTTTATGGCTGCATAGTATTCCATGGTGTATATGTGCCACATTTTCTTAATCCAGTCTATCATTGTTCGACATTTGGGTTGGTTCCAAGTCTTTGCTATTGTGAATAATGCCGCAATAAACATATGTGTGCATGTGTCTTTATAGCAGCATGATTTATAGTCCTTTGGGTATATACCCAGTAATGGGATGGCTGGGTCAAATGGTATTTCTAGTTCTAGATCCCTGAGGAATGGCCACACTGACTTCCACAATGGTTGAACTAGTTTACAGTCCCACCAGCAGTGTAAAAGTGTTCCTATTTCTCCACATCCTCTCCAGCACTTGTTGTTTCCTGACTTTTTAATGATTGCCATTCTAACTGGTGTGAGATGGTATCTCATTGTGGTTTTGATTTGCATTTCTCTGATGGCCAGTGATGGAGAGCATTTTTTCAAGTGTTTTTTGGCTGCATAAATGTCTTCTTTTGAGAAGTGTCTGTTCATGTCCTTTGCCCACTTTTTGATGGGGTTGTTTTTTTCTTGTAAATTTGTTTGAGTTCATTGTAGATTCTGGATATTAGCCCTTTGTCAGATGAGTAGGTTGCGAAAATTTTCTCCCATTTTGTAGGTTGCCTGTTCACTCTGATGGTAGTTTCTTTTGCTGTGCAAGAAGCTCTTTAGTTTAATTAGATCCCATTTGTCAATTTAGGCTTTTGTTGCCATTGCTTTTGGTGTTTTAGACATGAAGTCCTTGCCCATGCCTATGTCCTGAATGGTAATGCCTAGGTTTTCTTCCAGGGTTTTTATGATTTTAGGTCTAACGTTTTAAGTCTTTAATCCATCTTGAATTGATTTTTGTATAAGGTGTAAGGAAGGGATCCAGTTTCAGCTTTCTACATATGGCTAGCCAGTTTTCCCAGCACCATTTATTAAATAGGGAATCCTTTCCCCATTGCTTGTTTTTCTCAGGTTTGTCAAAGATCAGATAGTTGTAGATATGTGGCGTTATTTCTAAGGGCTCTGCTCTGTTCCATTGATCTATATCTCTCTTTTGGTACCAGTACCATGCTGTTTTGGTTACTGTAGTCTTGTAGTATAGTTCGAAGTCAGGTAGTGTGATGCCTCCAGCTTTGTTCTTTTGGCTTAGGATTGACTTGGCAATGCGGGCTCTTTTTTGGTTCCATATGAACTTTAAAGTAGCTTTTTCCAATTCTGTGAAGAAAGTCATTGGTAGCTTGATGGGGATGGCATTGAATCTGTAAATTACCTTGGGCAGTATGGCCATTTTCACGATATTGATTCTTCCTACCCATGAGCATGGAATATTCTTCCATTTGTTTGTATCCTCTTTTATTTCCTTGCTCAGTAGTTTGTAGTTCTCCTTGAAGAGGTCCTTCACATCCCTTGTAAGTTGGATTCCTAGGTATTTTATTCTCTTTGAAGCAATTGTGAATGGGAGTTCACTCATGATTTGGCTCTCTGTTTGTCTGTTATTGGTGTATAAGAATGCTTGCGATTTTTGTACATTGATTTTGTATCCTGAGACTTTGCTGAAGTTGCTTATCAGCTTAAGGAGATTTTGGGCTGAGACAATGGGGTTTTCTAGATATACAATCATGTCGTCTGCAAACAGGGACAATTTGACTTCCTCTTTTCCTAATTGAATACCCTTTATTTCCTTCTCCTGACTAATTGCCCTGGCCAGAACTTCCAACACTATGTTGAATAGGAGTGGTGAGAGAGGGCAACCCTGTCTTGTGCCAGTTTTCAAAGGGAATGCTTCCAGTTTTTGCCCATTCAGTATGATATTGGCTGTGGGTTTGTCATAGATAGCTCTTATTATTTTGAAATACGTCAATACCTAATTTATTGAGAGTTTTTAGCATGAAAGGTTGTTGAATTTTGTCAAAGGCCTTTTCTGCATCTATTGAGATAATCATGTGGTTTTTGTCTTTGGTTCTGTTTATATGCTGGATTACATTTATTGATTTGCATATATTGAACCAGCCTTGCATCCCAGGGATGAAGCCCACTTGATCATGGTGGATAAGCTTTTTGATGTGCTGCTGGATTCGGTTTGCCAGTATTTTATTGAGGATTTTTGCATCAATGTTCATCAAGGATATTGGTCTAAAATTCTCTTTTTTGGTTGTGTCTCTGCCCGCCTTTGGTATCAGGATGATGCTGGCCTCATAAAATGAGTTAGGGAGGATTCCCTCTTTTTCTATTTATTGGAATAGTTTCAGAAGGAATGGTACCAGTTCCTCCTTGTACCTCTGGTAGAATTCGGCTGTGAATCCATCTGGTCCTGGACTCTTTTTGGTTGGTAAGCTATTGATTATTGCCACAATTTCAGAGCCTGTTATTGGTCTATTCAGAGATTCAACTTCTTCCTGGTTTAGTCTTGGGAGAGTGTATGTGCCGACGAATTTATCCATTTCTTCTAGATTTTCTAGTTTATTTGCATAGAGGTGTTTGTAGTATTCTCTGATGGTAGTGTGTATTTCTGTGGGATCGGTGGTGATATACCCTTTATCATTTTTTATTGCATCTATTTGATTCTTCTCTCTTTTTTTCTTTATTAGTCTTGCTAGCGGTCTATCAATTTTGTTGATCCTTTCAAAAAACCAGCTGCTGGATTCATTAACTTTTTGAAAGGTTTTTTGTGTCTCTATTTCCTTCAGTTCTGCTCTGATTTTAGTTATTTCTTGCCTTCTGCTAGCTTTTGAATGTGTTTGCTCTTGCTTTTCTAGTTCTTTTAATTGTGATGTTAGGGTGTCAATTTTAGATCTTTCCTGCTTTCTCTTGTGGGCATTTAGTGCTATAAATTTCCCTCTACACACTGCTTTGAATGTGTCCCAGAGATTCTGGTATGTTGTATCTTTGTTCTCGTTGGTTTCAAAGAACATCTTTATTTCTGCCTTCATTTTGTTATGTACCCAGTAGTCATTCAGGAGCAGGTTGTTCAGTTTCCATGTAGTTGAGCGGTTTTGAGTGAGATTCTTAATCCTGAGTTCTAGTTTGATTGCACTGTGGTCTGAGAAATAGTTTGTTATAATTTCTGTTCTTTTACATTTGCTGAGGAGAGCTTTACTTCCAACTATGTGGTCAATTTTGGAATAGGTGTGTTACGGTGCTGAAAAAAATGTATATTCTGTTGATTTGGGGTGGAGAGTTCTGTAGATGTCTATTAGGTCCGCTTGGTGCAGAGCTGAGTTCAATTCCTGGGTATCCTTGTTGACCTTCTGTCTCATTGATCTAATGTTGACAGTGGGGTGTTAAAGTTTCCCATTATTAATGTGTGGGAGTCTAAGTCTCTTTGTAGGTCACTCAGGACTTGCTTTATGAAACTGGGTGCTCTTGTATTGGGTGCATATATATTTAGGATAGTTAGCTCTTCTTGTTGAATTGATCCCTTTACCATTATGTAATGGCCTTCTTTGTCTCTTTTGATCTTTGTTGGTTTAAAGTCTGTTTTATCAGAGACTAGGATTGCAACCCCTGCCTTTTTTTGTTTTCCATTTGTTTGGTAGATCTTCCTCCATCCTTTTATTTTGAGCCTATGTGTGTCTCTGCACATGAGATGGGTTTCCTGAATACAGCACACTGATGGGTCTTGACTCTTTATCCAATTTGCCAGTCTGTGTCTTTTAATTGGAGCATTTAGTCCATTTACATTTAAGGTTAATATTGTTATGTGTGAATTTGATCCTGTCATTATGATGTTAGCTGGTTATTTTGCTCGTTAGTTGATGCAGTTTCTTCCTAGCCTCGATGGTCTTTACATTTTGGCATGATTTTGCAGCAGCTGGTACTGGTTGTTCCTTTCCATGTTTAGCACTTCCTTCAGGAGCTCTTTTAGGGCAGGCCTGGTGGTGACAAAATCTCTCAGCATTTGCTTGTCTGTAAAGTGTTTTATTTCTTCTTCACTTATGAAGCTTAGTTTGGCTGGATATGAAATTCTGGGTTGAAAATTCTTTTCTTTAAGAATGTTGAATATTGGCCCCCACTCTCTTCTGGCTTGTAGAGTTTCTGCCGAGAGATCCACTGTTAGTCTGATGGGCTTCCCTTTGAGGGTAACCCGACCTTTCTCTCTGGCTGCCCTTAACATTTTTTCCTTCATTTCAACTTTGGTGAATCTGACCATTATGTGTCTTGGAGTTGCTCTTCTCAAGGAGTATCTTTGTGGCATTCTCTGTATTTCCTGAATCTGAATGTTGGCCTGCCTTGCTAGATTGGGGAAGTTCTCCTGGATAATATGCTGCAGAGTGTTTTCCAACTTGGTTCCATTCTCCCCGTCACTTTCAGGTACACCAATCAGACGTAGATTTGGTCTTTTCACATAGTCCCATATTTCTTGGAGGCTTTGCTCGTTTCTTTTTATTCTTTTTTCTCTAAACTTCCCTTCTCACTTCATTTCATTCATTTCATCTTCCATTGCTGATACCTTTTCTTCTAGTTGATCGCATCGGCTCCTGAGGCTTCTGCATTCTTCACGTAGTTCTCGAGCCTTGGTTTTCAGCTCCATCAGCTCCTTTAAGCACTTCTCTGTATTGTTTATTCTAGTTATACATTCTTCTAAATTTTTTTCAAAGTTTTCAACTTCTTTGCCTTTGTTTGAATGTCCTCCCGTAGCTCGGAGTAATTTGATTGTCTGAAGCCTTCTTCTCTCAGCTCGTCAAAGTCATTCTCCGTCCAGCTTTGTTCCGTGGCTGGTGAGGAACTGCGTTCCTTTGGAGGAGGAGAGGCGCTCTGTTTTTTAGAGTTTCCAGTTTTTCTGCTCTGCTTTTTCCCCATCTTTGTGGTTTTATCTACTTTCGGCCTTTGATGATGGTGATGTACAGATGGGTTTTTGGTGTGGATGTCCTTTCTGTTTGTTAGTTTTCCTTCTTTTTTTTTTTTTTTTTGAGACGGAGTCTCACTGTCGCCCAGGCTGGGGTGCAGTGGCGGGATCTCGGCTCACTGCAAGCTCCGCCTCCCGGGTTCACGCCATTCTCCTGCCTCAGCCTCCCGAGTAGCTGGGACTACAGGCGCCCGCCACCTCGCCCGGCTAATTTTTTGTATTTTTAGTAGAGACGGGGTTTCACCGTGTTAGCCAGGATGGTCTCGATCTCCTGACCTCGTGATCCGCCCGCCTCGGCCTCCCAAAGTGCTGGGATTACAGGCGTGAGCCACCGCGCCCGGCCTGTTAGTTTTCCTTCTAACAGACAGGACCCTCAGCTGCAGGTCTGTTGGAGTACTCGGCCGTGTGAGGTGTCAGTCTGCCCCTGCTGGGGAGTGCCTCCCAGTTAGGCTGCTCGGGGGTCAGGGGTCAGGGACCCACTTGAGGATGCAGTCTGCCCGTTCTCAGATCTCCAGCTGCGTGCTGGGAGAACCACTGCTCTCTTCAAAGCTGTCAGACAGGGACATTTAAGTCTGCAGAGGTTACTGCTGTCTTTTTGTTTGGCAGGGCACAGACAAACGGATACTTTTCAAAAGAAGACACACATGTGGCCAACAATCATGTGAAAAAAAGCTCAACATCACTGATCATTAGAGAAATGCAGATCAAAACCACAATGAGATACCATCTCACACCAGTCAGAATGGCTATTACTAAAAACTCAAAAAAAAAAAAAAAAAAACAGATGCTGACGAAGTTGCAGAGAAAAAGGAATGCTTATACACTGTTGGTGGGAGTATAAATAAGTTCAACCATGGTGGAAGACAGTGTGGTGATTCCTCAAAGACCTAAAAACAAAAATACCATTTGACACAGCAATCCCATTACTGGGTATATACCCAAAAGAATATGAATTGTTCTGTTATAAAAATACATGCACGTATATGCTCATTGCAGCACCATTCACAAGGACAAAGACATGGAATCAACCTGAAAGCCCATCAATGATAGACTGGATAAAGAAAATGTAGTACATATACACCATGGAATACTATGCAGCCATAAAAAAGATGGAGATCATATCCTTTCCAGGGGCATGGATGGAGCTGGAGGCCATTATCCTTAGCAAACTAGCACAGGAACAGAAAAACAAATGCTACATGTTCTCACTTATAGGTGGGAGCTAAATGATTAGAACACATGGACACATAGAGGGGAACAATACACAGTGGGGCCTATCAGAGGGTAGAAGATAGGAAGAGGCAGAGGATCAGAAAAATAACTGAGTACTAGGCTTAATACCTGGTGATGAAATAATCTGTACAACAAACCCCCATGACACAAGTTTACCTATGTACCAAGCCTGCACATGTACCCCAGAACTTAAAAGTTAAAAAAAAATATTTCCTCCTCTCTTCCTCTGGGACTCAACTATATGTTATAAATTGAGTGACAGTATCCCACCAGTTTCTTACATTTTTCCATTCTTTTTTTCCTCTGAGCTTCAATTTGAATGATTTTGATTGACCAGTCTTTCAGTTCACAGATCCTTTCTCTTACTGTTTCCAGAATGCTTTTAAGTCCTTCAATGAATTATCCATTTCAAATACTGTATTTTTTAGATCTAGAATTTTTACTTGGTTCTCTTCCATTTTCACTGTCTTCAAAATTCCCATTTTGCCCACCATTTGTACACTGTTTCCACGTTGATACGTTTATGACAGTTATTTTAAAGTTCTTGTCTCTAATTTGAACATCTGGGTCATCTGTGGGTTTACTTCTATTGACTGCTTTTATCCCTCCATAAGTGGTAATTTTTTATTCTATGAATGAACATTATAAATGATAGAGACTCTGGATTTTTTAAATATCTTCCTCTAAAAAGTGTTCAGTTCTTTTTTGGAAGGCAATTCCTGGCAGATTATGTTCGTCCTATAGAGGCTTCGTTAGAGGATGGGTCTATTTCAGTTTCTGTAGAACATGGTCCTTGCTCTTAAAACTTGGCCTTTCTGGGATCTCAACAGAATTCTGGGACTATTTAATGAGAACTCTCTGCTTTTGCTCAGACTCCAATAACTCTGAATTCGGACTTCTGAACTTTCTAGTCAGCTCTCAGCCCTCCAGCGTCTGTTCTCTGTAGTTTCTCCTGGAGGCTTACCCTGTACACACCCAACTTATTTTCAGCCAAGAACCTGAGAAGAATAACTACATAGATTTCTGGGCTCTTTATCTGCTATTCCTTTTTCTTTAGAAACCTGCTCAACAAATTCCAGCCCCCGTAGGAGCCCTAAATTGCCATCTCTGCTTTCTCTTCTCCCTCTGCTCAGCGTCTGCTTCCTCCACGCACCAAGACCGCCATTCTCTGCTTGGGTTTCTCTCTGCTTGGGTTTCACTCCGCTGTGCGGGAATCACTGCCAGATAAAAAGCTGCTGTAAATGTGGAGCTCACCGCTTGTGCTTCCCTTCTCTTTAGAAGTGCCTCCTTCCACTTTCCATTGTTCAATGCCAGGATATAGTTCCTTCATGTAGTTTTCTGTTTCATAGCTGTTTAGAGCAGACGAGTGAGTCCAATACCAGCTATTCCAGCATGGCCAGAACCAGAAATCCACTACTACTCATTCTTCAGTCTGAGTTTTTATATCACTTTCCCAGCAGCTTTCTGGAACAATTAAACTAAGTTAAATCCACTTCCTATGTATTTTCAGTTGTTAGTTTGCATGGATTTAAAAAATTTTAACCTAGATCTATGTTGTACATTTTAGCAAATTAAAGTCCTAAAGCGTATGCAATGTAATTTTATTTTATCCTAATTATATACTATATAAAGTCAAGAATTTCTACAATGGTTAAAACAAAGAAACAACTTTTTTCTTACTCCCGCCTGTATTAATCATGGTTTTTTGTTGTTTTTGTTGTTTGTTTTGGTTTGATATTTTTGAGACAGGGTCTCACTCTGTCACTCAAGCTGGAGTGCAGTGATAGGATCATGGCTCACTGCAGCCTCAAACTACTGGGTGCAAGCCATCCTCTGCCTCAGCCTCCAGAGTAGCTGGCACTACAGGTACATGCCACCACACCCAGTTAATTTTTTAATATTTATTTTGTAGAGATGGGGCCTCACTATGTTGACCAGGCCAGTTTTGAACTCCAGGCCTCAAGCATTCCTCCTGCTTTGGCCTCCCAAAATCCTGGGATTATAGGCGTGAGCCACTATGCTCAGTCAATCACATTTTGTTTTGTTTTTAAGAAAAAAAAAAAGCTTCTGTAAGTTATGATGTTCTGGCATCTTAAAAATCTTGTTGAGGGAGAGACGTCCCCTCCCAGGGTTAGACTGCTAGAGACAGCAAAGGCTTAGCAGAGAGCACATCTTTTATTTGCAAACTAACCAATCCCAAGGCTATAGCTCCAACCACTTTTTTTTTTTGGTCTCACTTTGTTGCCCAGGCTGGAGTGCAGTAGTGCCATGTTGGCTCACTGCAAACTCTGTCTCTCGGGTTCAAGCGATTCTCTTGCCTCAACCTCCCAGGTAGCTGAGATTACAGGCATGTGTCACCACACCCAGCTAAGTTTTGTATTCTTAGTAGAGACGGGTTTCACCATGTTAATCAGGCTGGTCTCGAACTCCTGACCTTAAGTGATCTGCTCTCCTCGGCCTCCCAAAGTGCTGGGCTTACAGGCATGAGCTACCGTGCCCAGCCAACCACCTCCTAATCTAATTCTCACACACATTTCCCTTGCCCTAAATTATCCCAGGGCCAGGTATTAGAAAACTAGAGACCATTCCTATAACCCAAAGACCCCTGAAATTATTCAAACTAGCCAATCCTAAACTGGTTTCCTGGCTTGCCTTTCCCTCAGCAACCCCCAAAAGGCCTAGACTCTCCCCTCACTCCTGTCCTCTGCCTCCTGACCATTCTGATACTTCCCCTGTGGCCCTCAGTGGTGTGTCATGTCCCCTACTCTCAGAGAATATAACAAATTCTTTTTTCAATGACAGTACCTCTCCACGTTTTCATACAGTCATACTTCTGTAAGTTAAATCCTGGGTGCAATTTTAGAATTCCACCCCACTCACCCCCTAATTTCCATTCCTCAGAAGCTGCCTTTTCGACCTCTAAATAAATTTCTCTAAGTTTTGCCTTCATGTTTCTAAGTAACATGTTTATATTATTCATTGATTTTTTTTTAGTTTGAAATACTAACTACTAACTGCATATTGTGGAAGAAAAATATTATCTCTCAATTCTCCCCTGACAGTTTTCATACTTCTCGCCATTCCTCCAATATATTCTATAACATACATTTTTGTTAGATTGTTAGTGTTTATATTAGTTTATATGTGTAACTGTCAGAGTTTAACAATATATTACAATAATTATATTTCCTTTCCTGTATCATTTTTAATTTCCCTGTAGTTAACATGTGTCTTGCTTTTTTATGTTTCTTTGTTTGCTTGTCCAATTTTCTGTGTAATTATTAAGTCATTCTCAAACTTTCTATTAGAGTTCCATTAAAACTGTCCTTTTAATGTGCTCAAACTAACAGTACCTATTTAAATAAATACAGGAAACAGATTTTGATTATGCTAATGAAGATAAACACCTTACTATATACTTTACATTATTTTCAAGTATTAATGTTTCAAATTTTATTTAAATGGACATATATCCCCCAAATTCTTGAGAATTTGCCAATGAAGCTTAGGAAAAACTATTTGCAGAGTAAAACAAACAGTATGTGTTGCCTCCAGCAAAACTATTCCTTGTTTTTTCATTGCTTAAAACAAACAAACAAACAACAACAACAACAAAAACCTATGCTTAAAAAACTGTCTTCACAGTGTGGCGATTCCTCAAGGATCTAGAACTAGAAATACCATTTAACCCAGCGATCCCATTACTGGGCATATACCCAAAGGATTATAAATCATGCTACTATAAAGACACATACACACGTATGTTTATTGTGGCACTTTTCACAATAGCAAAGACTTGGAACCAACCCAAATGTCCATCAATGACAGACTGGATTAAGAAAATGTGGCACATATACACCATGGAATACTATGCAGCCATAAAAAAGGATGAGTTCATGTCCTTTGCAGGGACATGGATGAAGCTGGAAACCATCATTCTTAGCAAACTATCACAAGGACAGAAAAACAAACACCGCATATTCTCACTCATAGGTGGGAATTGAACAATGAGAACACATGGACACAGGGTGGGGAACATCACACACCAGGGCCTGTAGGGGGCTGGAGGGCTGGGGAAGGGATAGCATTAGGAGAAATACCTAATGTAAATGATGACTTGACAGGTGCAGCAAGCCAACATGGCACATATATACCTATGTAACAAACCTACATGTTGTGCACATGTACCCTAGAACTTAAAGTATAATAAAAAAAATAAAAAACTGTCTTCACTACTCAACACTTAAACAGATAAAGTCTGAAAAATAATATGGAGCATAGAGGAGAAAAGGCTTTAGGATTTCCCTAAAATTCAACTAATGTAATAAATAATTGGACAAATCGATGAATCCTGCAGCTGTATGGAATAATGTCATTCTTTTTTTTTTTTTTGAGACAGAGTCCAGCTTTGTTGCCCAGGCTGGAGTGCGATGGCATGATCTCAACTCACTGCAACCTCCACCTCCTGGGTTCAAGGGATTCTCCTGCCTCAGCCTCCCGAGTAGCTGGGATTACTGGTGTGCACCACCATGCCTGGCTAATTTTTGTATTTTTAGTAGAGAGTGTTTCACCATGTTGGTCAGGCTGGTCTCAAACTGCTGACATCAAGTAATCTGCCCACTTCAGCCTCCCAAAGTGCTGGGATTGCAGGTGTGAGTCACTGCGCCCAGCCATTTTTTAAAAAGTTTTAAGATACATTTAAGATTCTAATAAGCCTAACTGTAAACAGAAACATAGTAAGTGCCGGTGTGTGAGGCAGTTTAATGAAGTGTGGTCTGAAACCAGACTGCCCACATTCCCAGCTCAACCACTTACCACTTACCAGCTCTATGACCTTAAGAAAGGTCCTTAACCACAGAGTGCCTCAGTTTCTTCATCCGTAAAATAAGGATGATAGTGTGTGTGTGTGTGTGTGTGTGTGTGTGTGTGTGTGTGTGTGGGTTGTAATAAAGACTGACTAAGTTAATCCTTAAAAAAATAATTAGAGACAAAGGGGAATACAGGATAGAAGAAAAGGAATGGGAAAGGAGATGGGAAAAACTCTAAGGTGGAAGACAGTAGATGGGAAGAGAAGAGCAAGATAGAGATAAATACATGCAGAATGAATACTGGAAACCACAGACAGTAACATCTCAGGAAAGAAATCTACTAAGATTATGCATTTCGCAGTAAAATTGTTTCTTTTTTTAAAACACCACTATAGCCCATGGTATAGAAATAGAATACTGTAAGATACCAAATAAAAAGGCACTTACTGCTTTTGTTTCTTTTCTACTCATTTTTATAAAAAGACAGAATTAGGGTAGAATATTTGGAACTATAAGGAGCCATTCTAATATCTAGAAGAGATATTAACATTACCTGTACAGAAAAATACTTCACTTCATCGAACTTAATTACAGTGTTCTTCTCATCGTTTTTGGATAGCAAGCTACACATTTTTGTACATTTCACAGCTTTGTTTATAGAGATGCGAATGAATAAATTAGCATAATGTTGTAAACTGACTGAAAATAGAATGATATTCAGGAAATAAATTTTGTTGTAATTGAACAATAATACATTATAAAATTAATACATTAAACGATTCAGACCAAAACCTAAGAATCAATCATGTAGCATTAAACAATAGAAAAAAAGTATTCTAAAATAGTATTTTTGCCCATCACTGGTGGACACAATATAAGTAAAAGAAGGTTGATTCTTCCTTACATCCCTTATATTTTTAACCTCACATTTCCAACAAAATTCCTTTGCAAGTTTTGCTATGTATTAATTTCAAGGTGACTAAGTATATGCAATATATAGTTGAAATTTTTCCTAAGGAAAATTATGTAGAAATTCAAAATATTTAAAAATATATCAGATTAACCTATTTTTAATTTTGAGACAAAAAGTGTTCTACTCTAATTCACTTAAGAATATAGTTCATTTATACTATATTGGTCTGTATTGTATCTTTCATAGAATGCTACAGAGTAAAACAATTTTGTTTCAAGATTTAACTATCTTCAAAAATCTCATTATACAGAATTATTTTCCAAAATTCTCTTTATATAAAAAAGAAACATCAAATCTCCATAATGAGGCTGGTTTTATGCTGTGATAAATCTAAAAATAAGCACTCAGCTTGTTTAAAAGCACCAATATAAATTAAATCCTTTTAAAAATGTTTAAAGGAAGCACACATTACTTACAAATAAATTAGCATTATCATACAAGAAGATATATATTTTTCCTTTCATTTATATGGTGATTGAGGTGATTACAGATGGCTGAAAAGCTTTTGTTACTCTCACATCAAAAAGTCCACTTTATTTCCCCTGCCACTAAATCTGGGCTGGCTCTATGATTACATTAACCAATAAAATGTAATGGAATGTGACTAGGGTTGGGACTAGTAAGCCAAAAAGGCACTCAACTAGAGCACAAAATTTAAGGGGACACCAACAACTAGTAATCAAGATAAATAATATATTACTGTGATATATTTTTAAATTAAAATTAATAAAGGGGGATAAAACATGATAGGACTTAGGGAAAGAGAGAGAGATCCAACCATTTCAGCATCCCTGCTAAGTCTAGCCTTCCATGCATCCCCACTAAAGCAACTAGACATGTAAATGGGCCACTTCAGATATTCTAGCCCTTTTGAACTGTCAGACAACAGCCCAAGCTTTTATATCATGAAGCAGAAGAAGCAAATAGTGAATGAACAGTAGTGATTGATGATAAAATGGTCAATGTGTTAAGCCACTAAGTTTTGGAATGGTTTGTAATGCAGCAATGGATAACTGAAACAGTGAGATATAATTACTATGATTCTTAAATCAAAAGAAAGGATACTCTTAGGCATAAAATGTCTGCAGTTCTTTATATGAATGCCCAGGCAGCCAACCTACAACAATCAAAACAAAAACACAGACAGTGAATGCATTTAAAAAGTTAACTGTTCTTTCACTTTACACTGAGCTCTATTTTTAAAAAGTAAAACTCCACGTTGTTGGTTTTTCTCATTTGAAATATTGTTTCTCATGAAAAATATCTAGTTAATAGAAATCATCGGAAAGCAGAAATACAGAAGAAAAATGCGCAGGCCACATTCAAAGTAAACCTAAAATGAACAAGAATACAAAGCCAAAGAATAATAATTCATTATTAACATAAATCTGATCATCACTCTTTAAATTGTTTTTATTTGATATTAGGTGAGAACTGATAAAATATAGCACCCTGCATATAAAATTAAGAAATGTGCCTTATTTCAGACAAACTCTTTTATCCAGTGTCCTAAGACCACTTAATTCATTCAGCAATGATTCATTGGCTATAACATGCCAAGGACTGTAAAATATTCATGCTCTTGCACCAAGTTTTTCTAAATGTTAAAGAAAATTGCATCATGTGCTTAACCAAAAAATCAAATACAAAATAAATGCAGGAACATCTGAATCCTAATATGAGAATTAGCCAAATATATTTAGCCATGTTTAGTATTTAAAACCAAGTAAAAACAACAGAAATATTATATTAAACATTGTATATGATAGGAGGTAGAGGGACAAGAAAAATTCTTATTTCATACCCAGTTACCACTCTAATAGTGTTCAGAAAATAAAAATAACTGTAAATGAATGTCATAATATTTGACAGTTCTATATGCATGTAGATTCTCATGTCTTGTTCTGTACTTTGAAAACAGAATAACAGATTTTTCTGGTTCTCAGCCTAGATACTGCGTCCTCCCTCTGTGTGGTGTGTGTGTGTATGTGTGTGTGTGTGTGTGTGTGTGAAAGAGAGAGGGGGGTGTTTGCTTTTGTTTCTAGGAGGTTTTTTGGATCGGGGAGGGGCGCAGGATCAATTTTCAGACTTTAGCATGATCTAGCAATAAATATAATCACTTTAAGAGCTCAGTAAAATTACTGATTCCCAGGCTCCTCTCCTAGAGATTCTAAGTTAGCAGATCTTAGGTGGAGCCTCAAGTTAATGTTTTATAAAAAGCATCTGAGGTAATTCCGATATAACTAGATTTGGGAATCCCTAATATAGAAGATATTATTTCTGTGAATCAGGATGTTTTCCATAATTTCAGTGATTATTACAATGTTTTTCTGACTCATAAAAATGAAAAATTCATAAATACGCCATCAGAGAGAACCATTTTCTGCATATACTGTTTGATTATCAAATAATAAATAACTTATACAGGTTTTTGAGGGTTACTCATACATACCACATCCCCAAATGGCACCAAATTTGGCGTCTCCTGTGTTATTTCCAGTTCTTCACTATCAGACTCTTTAAGAGTTTTTCTCAGCATCTACAATGTAAATAAATTAAGATTTGGGAAGAGAAAGACAAACATAACTAGATGAAACATCAATTCAATAATTATTGTATGAATCTCTAGTAAGTGTCAGGTCTCCTCGGTATTGGGGTATTAATATGATTAAGAAACTCATCCCTATCCTCAATAAGAAGTTAGTAGAGAAATAAAAATGTACACAAATATAAAATTAAGAGAATCATGAAAGAAGAGAAAAGTACATAGTTCTTCAGTTTGTTAAGAAATTGAATATTTAGTAGGATATCTTGAAAAGCTTATAAAGAGAATTCCAGTTGGCCCTAGTATAGGAGATACTTTGAGTCTGAATCTCTACTCAATCAAATATATATATACATACACACACACACACACACATACACAAACATATATATGCACACATGCACACACATATACACACATATACATGCACATGCACACACACACTATAGGGACAGAAAGCAAGGAAAGAGAAATCTTAAGAGATGCTGGAAAAGAACAGAGAGGAGTAGGGAACACAAAAGGAAGCACAGACAAAATCATCCTGAGAAAGAGAAAGTTCAACATTGAGCACAAAAATTCTGACCACAGGTCTAGGAGTTGGTAGTTCACAGCAATGGCCATAGAGAAGGGACCTGAAAGAGAAGGACCAGAAGTAGCTCATCATGATGCGCACTGCTTCTGGGGTGAAGGCATCAGAGAAGAAGAGGTATCCCTGCATACATGGCAGGGAAGAGAAAGAAGGATATAAGAGGGGAAAATTAAGCATACCAGAAAAACCGAAGAGAACAACAGGTTATGCCCCTCCTTTCCCCTTACCTCCCATCAATTACAACTTCATCCATTTAAAAAAAAACTGCTTCAATACACTGAAAGAAGAGAGTACACTTAAACTATGGCAAAGAAATGACCATGGCCAAGAAATACGGAAAATCCGACCAACTCCATTAAAAGCTATTATAGGGAGAAAATGGGGAGAAATCTTCAGATGACAAAAATTCTTCCTCCCAAATAACCACAAAACAGAAGTAAATTATAACATAAGATTTCAAACTGAATTAAGTATCTTCAAACAAGCATTTGGAGATGTTTTTAAGCCTACAATTAACAATTCATTCATTTATTCAACAATTAAAACAGAAGTTGACCAAAGAGAAGAAAGAAAAAATGAAATGAGTGTTGATCAATTCAGAAAAGAAATTTTTAAAAAAGACAAACCATCCCAGAAATAAATGCTAAATTATAAAGTGCCCAAAGGTAGCATCGATTCAAAAAAACTTTATAAGGGGCATTGAAGAAGATAAGAACCAGTGAAGAGAATGATAATGAGATAGAGAAAGAAGCATAAAGGGTCAGAGAAAAATGGTTGAATTGGAAGGCAGGCAAATGAAAAATCCTCGAAGTAAAACAAAACAATGGAGGAAAAACGAATGTTTAAAGTTATAATCCAAGAAAAATTTAAGTATTAAGAGAAAAATCTGTATGTGGATAGGACTCACCATGTGTCTAGAAAAACTGGCTCATAATGATCAACTCCAAGATGTGTCCTAGTAAGATTATTAGGCTTTATAAAGACATCTTGCCTACAGGCAAATGACCAAATTATCTATGAAGATAAGAAATAAGACTGGCATCATATTTCTCAAGGGCAACATACAAAGCAATGCAACTGCAGAGCTGTATTTTTATAAAGTTCAAGGCAAGGAAGGTCAAGCCAAGGATTTTTATCCAACCAAGTCTATTTTTATCCAACAAAGTAACAGCATTCATGTATCAAGGCTATTTTAAAAAATACATGAAACAGGCATTCCAGATAACATTTTACTCTTGAGCCCCTCCCAAGAAACCTACTAAAAGATGAGCTTCAACCAAACCAAAAGATAGTGGGGAAAACTTCAGGATAAGACTTATGGAGAGGACAGGCACGGTGGCTCACACCTGTAATCCCAACACTTTGGGAGGCCGAGGTGGGTGTATCACTTGAGGCCAGGAGTTTGAGACCAGCTTGGCCAACATGGCGAAAACCCACCTCTACTAAAAATACAAAAATTAGCTGGGCGTGGTGGTGCACACCTGTAATTCCAGCTACTTGGGAGACTGAGGCAGGAGAATCCCTTCAACCCGGAAGGTGGAGATTGCAGTGAGCCAAGATCGCGCCACCGCACTCCAGCTTGGGCGATAGAGTAAGACTCTGTCTCAAAAAAAAAAAAAAAAAGACTTATGGAGAGCAGTTAATATATTTAACTGCAGAGTTAAGATTAAAGTAAAGATTCAAATGTTACTACTACAGAAACCACCAAACAACTATAATAAATAGTAAGGGAGAAAGAAAGGAACAAAGTACACACAAAACAAGAAATTAATTAATAAAATGATGAGAATAAGCCCCCACCTATCAATAATAACCTTGAATGTGAATGAATTAAGCTCTCCACTTCAAAGATATACACTGGCTAAATGGATCAAAAAAACATGACCCGATCTTTCGGATTTGGGTAAAAGAAGCCAGACCTACTGAGTTTACATTTTGCTTCTGCCCTCTCTGGCTGTGTTACCCTGGGCAAGTTACTTAACCTCTCTAACCCAGAGATGCTGCATGCAATTTGCTGAATCATAACAGAACCTATTTTATGGGGCTCTTGTGAGACTTAAGGAAATTAATATAAATAGGTCAGACATGGTGGCTGACACCTGTAATCACAGCAATTTGGGAGGTCAAAGCAGGAGGACTGCTTGAGCCTAGGAGTTCGAGACCAGCCTGGGAAACCTAGTGATACCGGCCCCCATCTCTACAAAAGATAAAAGTAAATTAGCCTGGTGTGATGGCACATGCCTGTGGGCTGAGGTAGGATCATTGCTTGAGCCCAGGAGTTCAAGGCTGTAGTGAGCTATGATTTTGCCACAGCACTCCAGCCTGGGGGACACACACACACACAAGACTCTGTCCACACACACACAAAATTAATATAAAGAAAGCAACTAATATACAGTACCTGGTATATGGTAATCAATACTTAAGAGTTTACTCTAGTTAAAAACCGAATTGCCTTTCCCAAAAATGCATACGTTGCAATCCTCACTCCTTGTGCCTCAGAATGTCATTGTATTTGGAGATAGGATTTTAAAAGAGGTAATTAGATTAAAATGAGGTCATCAGGGTGGACCCTAATCCCATATGCTGAGAAGAGAGGTCTCAGAAGAAACCAACTCTACCACCTTAATTTTGGACTTCCAAGCCCCAAAACTGTGAGAAAATAAATGTCTGAGGTTTAAAATACCCAGTCTGTGGAGCTTTGTCATGTAGCTCTAGCAACAAATGCTGCTTGCATTATGGGACAGCAATGCTAGATTTTACATATGGTAAGCATTCCTTCTATAAGCATTTATTAGCACCTACTACCTGCTGGCTGAGCTGGGACTCATATAGGGTAATTGCCTCCAGCATAATTTTTTTGGGTCATGGGGCAGACAGGGTCTTGCTTTGTCACCCAGGATGGAATGCAGTGGTACAATCATAGCTCGTTGTAGCCTCAAACTCCTGGGCTCAAGTGATCCTCTCACCTTGGCCTCTCAAAGTACTAGGATTAGAGGCATGAGCCATCATACCCAGCCTCAGGCACAAAACTTAACTGAATGCCAAAAAACTCAGTCACCATGATAATAATGTGTATACACTTTTTTTTAAAATTTTGGTAGAGGGGAAGGGGCATGGAGCTCTCATGCTCTCTCTGGGCATGTGACCCTCGAGGAATATTTTAATGCATGTTTTTAAAAAAATCAAAATGCTTTCCCCACTTCTCACTACTGCACTTCACCAATACTACAAAGAAAATACGCTGGACACAGTGGCTTATGCCTATAATCCCAGCACTTTGGGAGGCCAAGGTGGGCAAATCATTTGAGCCCAGGAGTTCCAGACCAGCCTGGGCTACGTGGCAAAACCACGTCTCTACAAAATATATAAAAATTAGCCAGGCATGGTGGCGAGTTCCTACAGTCCTAGCTACTCAGGAGGCTGAGTTGGGAGGATCACCTGAGCCCAGGAGGTTGAGGCTGCAGTGAACAGTGATTATGCCACTACACTCCAGCCTCTGTGACAGAGTAAGATCCTGTCTCAAAAAAAAAAAAAGAAAGAAACAAACAAAGAAAGAAAGAAAAAAGAAAAGAGAAAGAAAGAAAAATGCAAAAAAGTTGATTAAAAAAAAAAACATGACCCAACTATATGCTGCCTATAAGAAACTCATCTCATCTGTAAAGGCACATACAGAATGAAAGTAAAGGGATAGAAAAAAATATTCCAAGAATAGCTATGCCAGGAGCAGAAGTAGCTATGGTTATATCAGATAAAATAGACTTAAAGTAAAAAACAGTAAAGAGACAATTTAAAAAAAGGTCATTAGGTCATTATATAATGATAAATGTGTCAAATCAGCAAGAGGATATAACAATTCTAAATATATTATGTACCCAACACCAGAGTACTCAGATATATAAATAGTATTACATCCAAAGGGAAGGATAGACTCCAATACAATAATATCTGGGGACTTTAACACACTACTCTCAGCATTAGACAGATCATCTAGACAGAAAACTAACAGAGAAACATGGGATTTAAATTACACATTAAACCAAATAGACCTAACAGACATTTACAGAATATTTCATCCAACAGCTACCGAATACATACTCTTCTCATCACCACATGGAAAATTCTCCATGACAGACTATATCTTAGGACACAAAACAAGTCTTACCAAATTTTAAAACATTAAAATCATATCAAGTATCTTCTGAGACCACAATGGAATAAAACTAGAAATCAGTAACAAGGGGAACTTTGGAAACTGTACAAACACAGGTAAATTAACAACATGCTCTTCAATGATCATTGGGTCAAGGAAGAAATTAAACAGAAAATTAAAAAATTTCTTGAAACTCATACAAATTGAAACACAACATACCAAAACTATGGGATACAGCAAAAGCAGTGCTAAGAGGGAAGATTATAGCAGTAAGCACCTATATCAAAGAAGTAGAAAGGTTTCAAATAAACAATCTAACAATACACATCAAGAAAGAAGAAAAGCAAGAATAAACCAAACCTAAAATTAGTGGAAGAAAAGAAATAACAAAGATCAGAGCAGAAGTAATTGAAATAGAACCTTTAAAAAGTACAAAGAATCAGCAAAACAAAAATTTGGCTTTTGACCTTACTAAAGTAACCAAGAAAAAGAGAACCTCAAATAAACAAACTCAGAAATGAAAAAGGAAATATAACTATGTCACAGACATACAAAAGATTACCAGAGACTATTAGAAACAACTATACACTAACAAATTGGAAAACTCAGAAGAAATGGATAAATTCCTAGACAAATACAAGTGACCAATATTGACTTAGGAAGAAATAGAAAGCCTGAACAGACCAATAACAAGTAATGAGATTGAAGCAGTAATAAGATGTCTCTCAGCTAGGCACGGTGGCTCATGCCTGTAATCCCAGCACTTCGGGAGGCTGAGGCAGGCAGATCATGAGGTCAGGAGATCGAGACCATCCTAGCTAACACAGTGAAACCCCGTCTCTACTAAAATATATGAAAAAAAATTAGCCGGGCGTGGTGGCGGGCGCCTGTAGTCTCAGCTACTCAGGAGGCTGAGGCAGGAGAATGGCGTGAACCTGGGAGGCAGAGCTTGCAGTGAGCCGAGATCATGCCACTGCACTCCAGCCTGGGTGACAGTGCGAGACTCCGTCTCAAAAAAAAAAAAAAAAGTCTCTCAACAAAGAAAAGTCACAGACCACATGACTTCACTGCTGAATTCTACCAAACTCTCGAAGAAGAACTAACATGAATTCTCCTCAAACTATTTCAAAAAATGAAGAAGACAGAATTCTCCCTGACACATTCTTTGAGGCCAGTATTACCCTGATGCAAAAACCAGACAAGGATACAACAACAAAAAAGAAATCTATAGGTCAATATCCCTAATGAACATAGATGCAAAAATCTTCAACAAAATACTAGCAAACTGAATGAAACAGCATATCAAAAAGATAATATATATATATACCATGATCATATGGGATTTATCCCAGTGAATGCAAGGATGGTTCAACACATGCAAATCAATAAACATCAAACATCACATCAACAGAATTAAGGGCAAAAACCAAATGATCATCTCAATAGACACAGAAAGCATTTGATAAAATTCAATATCCCTTCATGATAAAAAAAAATTCAACAAACTGGCATAGAAGGAATGTACTTCAACATAATAAAGCCCATATATAACAAATGCCTGGCTAACATCATACTGAATGGAGAAGAGCTAAAAGCCTTTCCTCTAAGAACTAGAATAAGACAAGAATGCCCACTTTCACCACTGTACTGAAAGTCCCAGCCAGAGTAATCAGGCGAGAGAAAAAAAATAAAAGGCATCCAAATTGGAAAAGGGAAAGTCAAATTGTCCCTATTTGCTAATGATATGATCTTTTATCTAGAAAAACCTATAGATTCCTACAAAAAACTCCTCTATCTGATAAATAAATTCAGTAAAGTTACAGCATACAAAATCAACATAATGTTATGAAACTAGAAATCAGTAACAGGAAATTTGGAAAATTCACAAAGACGTGGAAATTAACAACAGGCTTCTGAATAACTAAGGGATCAAAGGAGATCAAATAGAAATCAAAAAATATTTTGAGACCAACAAAAATGGAAACACAATATACTCAAACTTATGGGATGCTGCGAAAGCAGTTATAAGAGGAAAGGTTAGAACAATAAATATCTACATCAAAAAAGAAGATCTCAAATAAACAACCTAACTTTACACTTTTAATAACTGTGTAGCAAAAACAAAGTAAGCCCAAAGTTAGCAGAAGAAAAAAATAATAAAGATTGGAGCAGAAATAAAATAGAGAACAGAAAAATCATTTTAAACATTAATGAAACTAAGGATTGCACAGCAAAAAGCACTATCAACAGTCAAAAAAAAAACAACTGTTGAATTATGAGAAAATATTTGTGACACTTATCACAGATGAATGCTAGTATCCCTAACAATTAAAGGATTTTTGAAAATGTCCTAATATCTTCCAACAACTTTGAAAAGGTGAGATTCAATTTGATTCCCCTTTGCCGTTTAGGTCTCCATGCTCTAGTGGTACTACTAAGTATAGTGGTAAACTCAAGAGTTTCAGGAGGCCAATAATTCACTTTGCAGACAGGATGCAGATTTGCTTCTGCAGATTCACTCTGTAATAACCTCAGGAATGAAAACAGGGGTAACTAAAGTTTCTGAAGTTTGGCCCTGTAACCAAATAAATAAAATCCCAGTAATGATGATGATGGTGACAGCAGCTAACTTTTGACTCTGTACTTTGTTCTTTGTACTGTGCTAAGCACTTTATATCATTATTTCCTTTTGCTCTCCTTTAAGTAAGGCAGGTAGTAATTGTCTTCATTGAACAGTGAATAAAACGAGACTCTAACAAGTTAAATAATTGCCCAAGGTCCCACAGGTCAACTCTTTCTCAGGTATTACCACCCTCTAATTTAGAGGGTTTCAAAAGGATTAAAGGGGGCCGGGCACGGTGGCTCACACCTGTAATCCCAGCACCTTGGGAGGCCAGGTGGGTGGATCACCTGAGGTCAGGAGTTCAAGTCCAGCATGATCAACATGGCAAAACCCCATCTCTACTAAAAATACAAAAATTCACCTGGCCTGGTGGTGGGTGCCTGTAATCCCAGCTACTCAGGAGGTTGAGGCAGGAGAATCACTTGAACCCGGGAGGCGGAGGTTGCTGTGAGCTGAGATCATGCCACTGCACTCTAGCCTGGGGGAGGGCGACAGAATGAGACTCCATCTTGGAAAAAAAAAAAAAAAAAAGCCAAGATAGCCAAATAGGAGCAGCTCCCGTCTGCAGTTCCCAGTGTGAGTGACACAGAAGACAGGTGATTCCTGCATTTCCAACTGAGGTACTGGGTTCATCTCACTGGGGCTTGTCAGACAGTGGGTGCAGCCCACGGAGCAGGGTGGGGCATCGCCTCACCCAGGAAGCACAGAGGGTTGGGGAATTCCCTTTCCTAGCAAAGGGAAGCTGTGACAGACGGCACCTGGAAAATCGGGACACTCCCACCCTAATACTGCACTTTTCCAATGGCCTTAGCAAACGGCACACCAGGACATTATATCCCATGCCTGGCTTGGAAGGTCCCACGCCCACGGAGCTTTGCTCCCTGCTAGCACAGCAGTCTGAGATCCAACTGCAAGGCAGCAGCAAGGCTGGGGGAGGGGCATCCTCCATTGCTGAGGCTTGAGTAGGTAAACAAAGCAGCTGGGAAGCTCAAACTGGGTGGAGCCCACCTCAGCTCAAGGAGGCCTGCCTGCCTCTGTAGACTCCACCTCTGGGGGGCAGGGCATAGCTGAACAAAAGGCAGCAGAAACTTCTACAGACTTAAACATCCCTGTCTGACAGCTTTGAAGAGAGCAGTGCTTCTCCTAGCACGGAGTTTGAGATCTGAGAATGGACAGACTGCCTCCTCAAGTGGGTCCCTGACCCCCGAGTAGCCTAACTGGGAGACACCTCCCAGTAGGGGCCAATTGACACCTCATACAACTGGGTGCCCCTCTGAGACAACGCTTCCAGAAGAAGGATCAGACAGTAACATTTGCTGTTCTGCAATATTTGCTGTTCTGCAGCCTCCACTGGTGATACCCAGGCAAACAGGGTCAGAGTGGACCTCCAGCAAACTCCAACAGACCTGCAGCTGACGGTCCTGACTGTTAGAAGGAAAACTAACAAACAGAAAGGACATCCACACCAAAATCTCATCTGTACATCACCATCATCAAAGACCAAAGGTAGATAAAACCACAAAGATGGGGAGAAACCACAGCAGAAAAGCTGAAAATTCTAAAAATCAGAGTGCCGTTTCTCCTACAAAGGAACACAGCTCCTCGCCAGCAAGGGAACAAAGCTGGACAGAGAATGAATTTGACGAGTTGAGAGAAGAAGGCTTCAGATTATCAGTAATAACAAACTTCTCCGAGCTAAAGGAGGATGTTCGAACCCATTGTAAAGAAGCTAAAAACCTTGAAAAAAGATCAGATGAATGGCTAATTAGAATAAACACTGTAGAGAAGTCCTTAAATGACCTGATGGAGCTGAAAACCATGGCACGAGAACTATGTGACGCATGCACAAGCTTCAGTAGCCGATTTGATCAAGTGGAAGAAAGGGTATCAGTGATTGAAGATCAAATGAATGAAATGAAGTGAGAAGAGAAGTTGATAGAAAAAAGAATAAAAAGAAATGAACAAAGCCTCCAAGAAATATGGGACTACGTGAAAAGACCAAATCTATCTCTGATTGGTGTACCTGAAAGTGACAGAGAGAATGGAATCAAGTTGGAAAACACTCTTCAGGATATTATCCAGGAGAACTTCCCCAACCTAGCGAGGCAGGCCAACATTCAAATTCAGGAAATACAGAGAATGCCACAAAGATACTCCTCGAGAAGAGGAACTCCAAGATACATAATTGTCAGATTCACCAAAGTTGAAAAGTAGGAAAAAATGTTAAGGACAGCCAGAGAGAAAGGTCGGGTTACCCACAAAGGGAAGCCCATCAGACTAACAGCAGATCTCTTGGCAGAAACTCTACAAGCCAGAAGAGAGTGGGGGCCAATATTCAACATTTTTAAAGAAAAGAATTTTCAACCCAGAATTTCATATCCAGCCAAACTAAACTTCATAAGTGAAGGAGAAATAAAATCCTTTACAGACAAACAAATGCTGAGAGATTTTGTCACCACCAGGCCTGCATTAGAAGAGCTCCTGAATGAAGCACTAAACGTGGAAAGGAACAATCGGTACCAGCCACTGCAAAAACATGCCAAATTGTAAAGACCATTGATGCTAGGAAGAAACTACATCAACTAACCAGCAAAATAACCAGCTAACATCATAATGACAGGATCAAATTCACACATAACAATATTAACCTTAAATGTAAATGGGCTAAATGGTCCAATTAAAAGACACAGACTGGCAAATTGGATAAAGAGTCAAGACCCATCAGTGTGCTGTATTTAGGAGACCTATCTCACGTACAGAGATACACACAGGCTCAAAATAAAGGGATAGAGGAGGATCTACCAAGCCAATGGAAAACAAGAAAAAGCAGGGGTTGCAATGCTAGTCTCTGATAAAACAGACTTCAAACCAACAAAGATCAAAAGAGACAAAGAAGGACATTACATAATGGTAAAGGGATCAATTCAACAAGAAGAGCTATCCTAAATATGTATGCACCCAATATAGGAGCACCCAGATTCATAAAGCAAGTCCTTAGAGACCTACAAAGAGACTTAGACTCCCACACAATAATAATGGGAGCCTTTAACACACCACTGTCAACATTAGACAGATCAATGAGACAGAAAGTTAACAAGGATATCCAGGAATTGAACTCAGCTCTGCACCAAGCAGACCTAATAGACATCTACAGAACTCTCCACCCCAAATCAACAGAATATACATTCTTCTCAGCACCACATCACACTTATTCCAAAATTGACCACATAGTTGGAAGTAAAGCACTCCTCAGCAAATGTAAAAGAACAGAAATTATAACAGACTGTCTCTCAGACCACAGCATAATCAAACTACAACTCAGGATTAAGAAACTCTCTCAAAACTGCTCAACTACATGGAAACTGAACAACCTCTTCCTGAATGACTACTGGGTACATAACGAAATGAAGGCAGAAATAAAGATGTTCTTTGAAACCAATGAGAGCAAAGACACAACATACCAGAATCTCTGGGACACATTTAAAGCAGCGTGTAGAAGGAAATTTATAGCACTAAATGCCCACAAGAGAAAGCAGGAAAGAACTAAAATTGACACCCTAACATCATAATTAAAAGAACTAGAGAAGCAAGAGCAAATGCTTTCAAAAGCTAGCAGAAGGCAAGAAATAACTAAGATCAGAGCAGAACGGAAGGAGATAGAGACACAAAAAAACCTTCAAAAAATCAATGAATCCAGGAGCTGGTTTTCTGAAAAGATCAACAAAATTGATAGATCACTAGCAAGACTAAGAAAGAAGAAAAGAGAGAAGAATCAAATAGACACAGTAAAAAATGATAAAGGGGATATCACCACCGATCCCACAGAAATACAAACTACCATCAGAGAATACTATAAACACCTCTATGCAAATAAAGTAGAAAATCTAGAAGAAATGGATAAATTCCTGGACACATACACCCTCCCAAGACTAAACCAGGAAGAAGTTGAATCCCTGAATAGACCAATAACAGGTTCTGAAATTGAGACAATAATTACTAGCCTACCAACCAAAAAAACTCCAGGACCAGACGGATTCACAGCCAAATTCTACCAGAGGTACAAAGAGGAGGTGGTACCATTCCTTCTGAAACTATTCCAATCAATAGAAAAACAGGGAATCATCCCAAATTTATTTTATGAGGCCAACATCATTCTGATACCAAAGCCTGGCAGAGACACAACAAAAACAGAGAATTTTAGACCAATATCCCTGATGAACATCGATGCAAAAATCCTCAATGAAACACTGGCAAACCGAATCCAGCAGCACATCAAAAAGCTTATCCACCATGATCAAGTGGGCTTCATCCCTGGGATGCAAGGCTGGTCCAACATATGCAAATCAATAAACATAATCCAGCATATAAACAGAACCAAAGACAAAAACCACATGATTATCTCAATAGATGCAGAAAAGGCCTTTGACAAAATTCAACAGCCCTTCATGCTAAAAACTCTCAATAAACTACGTATTGATGGGACGTATCTCAAAATAATAAGAGCTATTTATGACAAACCCATAGCCAATATCATACTGAATGGGCAAAAACTGGAAGCATTCCCTTTGAAAACTGGCACAAGACAGGGATGCCCTCTCTCACCACTCCTATTCAACATGGTGTTGGAATTTCTGGCCAGGGCAGTCAGGCAAGGGAAAGAAATAAAGGGTATTCAATTAGGAAAAGAGGAAGTCAAATTGTCCCTGTTTGCAGATGACATGTTTGTATATTCAGAAAACTCCATCGCCTCAGCCCAAAATCTCCTTAAGCTGATAAGCAACTTCAGCAAAGTCTTAGGATACAAAATCAATGTGCAAAAATCACAAGCATTCCTATACACCAATAACAGACAAACAGAGAGCCAAATCATGAGGGAACTCCCATTCACAATTGCTTCAAAGAGAATAAAATACCTAGGAATCCAACTTACAAGGGATGTGAAGGTTCTCTTCAAGGAGAACTACAAACCACTGCTCAATGAAATAAAAGAGGACACAAACAAATGGAAAAACATTACATGCTCATGGATAGGAAGACTCAATATTGTGAAAATGACCATACTGCCCAAGGTAATTTATAGATTCAATGCCATCCCCATCAAGCTACCAATGACTTTCTTCACAGAATTGGAAAAAATACTTTAAAGTTCATATGGAACCAAAAAAGAGCCCACATTGCCAAGACAATCCTAAGCCAAAAGAACAAAGCTGGAGGCATCATGCTTTCTGACTTCGAACTATACTACAAGGCTACAGTAACCAAAACATCATGGTACTGGTACCAAAACAGAGATATAGACCAATGGAACAGAATAGAGCCCCCGGAAATAATACCACACATCTACAACCATCCGATCTTTGACAAACCTGACATAAACAAGAAATGGGGAAAGGATTCTCTATTTAATAAATGGTGTTGGGAAAACTGGCTCGCCATACGTAGAAAGCTGAAACTGGATCCCTTCCTTACGCCTTATACAAAAATTAATTCAAGATGGATTAAAGACTTAAATGTTAGACCTAAAACCATAAAAACCCTAGAAGAAAACCTAGCCAATACCATTCAGGATATAGGCATGGCCAAGGACTTCATGACTAAAACACCAAAAGCAATGGCAACCAAAGCCAAAATCGACAAATGGGATCTAGTTAAACTAAAGAGCTTCTGCACAGCAAAAGAAACTAGCATCAGAGTGAACAGGCAGCCTACAGAATGGGAGAAAATTTTTGCAATCTATCCATCTGACAAAGGGCTAATATCCAGAATCTACAAAGAACTGAAACAAATTTACAAGAAAAAAACAAACAACCCCATCAAAAAGTGGGCAAAGTATATGAACAGACACTTCTCAAAAGAAGACATTTATGCAGCCAACAGACACATGAAAAAATGCTCATCATCACTGGCCATCAGAGAAATGCAAATCAAAACCACAATGAGATACCATCTCACACCAGTTAGAATGGCAATCATTAAAAAGTCAGGAAACAACAGGTGCTGGAGAGGATGTGGAGAAATAGGAACGCTTTTACACTGTTGGTGGGAGTGTAAACTAGTTCAACCATTGTGGAAGACAGTGTGGCGATTCCTCAAGGGTCTAGAACTAGAAATACCATTTGACCCAGCCATCCCATTACTGGGCATATACCCAAAGGATTATAAATCATGCTGCTATAAAGTCACGTGCACACATATGTTTATTATGGCACTATTCACAATGGCAAAGACTAGGAACCAACCCAAATGTCCATCAATGACAGACTGGATTAAGAAAATGTGGCACATATACACCATGGAATACTATGCAGCCATATAAAAAGGATGAGTTCATGTCCTTTGTGGGGTCATGGATGAAGCTGGAAACCATCATTCTCAGCAAACTATCGCAAGGACAGAAAACCAAACACTGCATGTTCTCACTCATAGGTGGGAATTGAACAATGAGAATACTTGGACACGGGGGGGGAACATCACACACCACGGCCTGTCGTGGGTTGGGGGGAGGGAGGAGGGATAGCATTAGGAGATATACCTAATGTAAATGACGAGTTAATGGGTGCAGCACACCAACATGGCACATGTATACCTATGTAACAAACCTGCACGTTGTGCACATGTACCCTAGAACTTAAAGTATAATAAAAAATAAAAAATAAAAATAAAAAAAAGGAATTGCTATAAACGAAAAAAAAAAGGATTAAAGGGTTCAATGTGTGCCAATTGAAGGGAGATGCAATTGGCACACATTGAACCCTTTAATCCTTTCACCACCCTCCAGGTGCCCTGCTGGCCCCGGTCCTCCAGGTGCCGGCCAGGCCCCCGCTCACTCACGTTCAGCAGCCGGTGCCCGGTGCCCTCCTGGTTCTTGTTCTTAGGCAGGGCCGTCGTGCCCTGGTTCAGGGCGTAAGGGACCGAAGAAGCCTCCGACCCTTTAATGTGCATGATATCCGGGCTGCTGTAGGGATTCCTCTGCAATAGCGGGGTGGCGGACAGGACTTGGACCTGCCCGCTGCGGTTATCAAGTGTGCTGAAAGGCCTATTTGTCTCTTGGGGTGGCTCCATCTCTCCATCTTCTGCGGCCTGTCTGCGCCCAACCGACGGCCCGCTACTGCGCAGGCGCGGCCCTCCCGCAGCCTTTCTCACATTTTCCCAGCGCGTGCGTGCCGCCTAGTGACCCACTCAGGCCGGGCCCATGCTGGGAGTGGCTGGAGGCAGCTTTGGAAGCATGCGTGCTTAGCGAGCCTGGAGGGTCTGCTGCAAGCACTTGCCAGGCCATTTCAGTCTCCTTTAGAAGGAAATCAGAGCACGCTGGTGGAGAGCAAGGCCCCTCATGGGGCCCAACCACTTTAGTTCACTGTCTTGTCCGCCCTGTAGCCCTCACGAGTCCTTTTCTCCCTGCACCATTTCTTTCTAGAAGATTTACAGTGTCAGTCATTACTTCCTCTACACTGTCCCGTGAGCTCCAGACGTTAAATATCCAACAGTCTACTTTGACATCTTTACCCAATTGTTCCACAGACACATAACACGTTAATATTCATCTTCCCTCTTAAACCTCTAGTAGGTTCCAAACTCATTTGGTGCAGCAATGTCATATCCACAAAATCTTAAACATTCAGACACATTTTAAAATTCTGACCCTAAATATCTGAATCTTACTTACCTTTTCCCTTTATGGCACCTAATTTGGGACAACACACACACGAGACAATTGCAATGATTTACTCATGGGTCTGCCAACCTGCTGTCATCCATCCCTTTCACTGCCCCCGTATTAGTCCTTTGCAGTAACGAATGGAGCTGAAGGCCATTATCCTAAGCAGACTAACACAGGAACAGAAAACCAAATACCACGTTCTCACTTATAAATGCGAGCTAAACAATGAGAACACATGGACACAAAGAGGGGAGCAACAGACACTGGGGCCTACTTGACGGCGAAGGGTGGGAGGCGGGAGAGGATCAAAAACTACCTTTTGGGCACTAGGCTTATTACCTGGGTGATGAAATAATCTGTACACCCCCATGACACAAAATTTACCTATATAACAAACCTGCACATGTACCCTTGAACCTAAAAGTTAAAAATATAAATAAATGCAAACAGAACAAAACCAGAGAATTCCAGAACTTCTTTATTGTACATAAAAATCTGAATTTCTTAATATGGAAACCAAAGGTCTGCAAAATGTACTCTCCTAGCTCAGGATCATTATTTATTCCTCTTATTTTTGGAATCTATTCTTCTTTTATTCAAGGACCAACTCAAAGGTCAGCTTTTAGTTAACTCTTATATCCCCATACACATATCCTAAAGGCAGAGTTAACTGCTATATCCAAGCTACTTCTTGGCATATCCTTGTCAGCCTAAATAACAGAGAGGGAGACTCTCTGAAAGAAAATGATGTTTATTCAGGAGTAGGCATTGCAATAAGAATACAAGTGCCACAGTAAACTATGTGCATATACAGGGAGGTCAAGGAAGACAACGGTTTTTAAAGCAAAAATGATTGTTTTGAGAGAATTATCCTTGGCTACAAGGATCAATAACAAGGATGTTGCCAGTTGGACATTGGACAGGGAGTTGCTGGGCAAATGTCCTCATAGAAGTATTTTTTGTGTGTGTCAGGTTGTGATGGCCTTTGTGCAAGGTGTGGTTTTGTGCAGTCTTTTAATGATAGTCCTCATTATCAGACATCTGTGCATGAAAATCGTCCTTTCACGGCCTTCCCCAGCTCTATTTGTTAGGATTTTTAACACAATGACCAGAACTTGATTTTGACAACTTTCACATCCTATTAGTGGGCTCACACTGTTAGTTGCTAATCTCAAAAGATAGAGTTCTTTAGGGGCAGGAACCTGCACCTCACCTTGTGCTCCTCAGAGTACATGGCCCAATATCCCAAGGCCCTTAACACATTTGTCATTATTTCAGATTTATACTATGTGGTGTGTTAATTACTGCACCCCATGAAACTTGCTGTCCAGCAGCTCACTCTGTTCTTAGGGTTCATGTTATGCAACATAAAGTACACAGCATCACAGATGAAGTCATATTTTTTTAAAAAATCTAATCAAACCACCAGACCTAACCTCCAGTCTATAGGAAATTCAGGAGATTGAGGAACAAATTAAGTGATGTCATTAGGAAAAAGTCAGACAATTAAAAAATGTAGGTGAGGCACTCTAAAGCAACTAGCTTGGACTCTTCAAAAAATTGTCATGGGAAATTAGAATGGTACCGCCAACTCTGGAAAACAGCTTGGCAGTTTGTAACTACATACAACCCATCAGTTTCACTCCTGGGCATTTATCTTAAAGAAATGAAAACTTAATGTTCACACAAAAACTTGCACATGAATGTCCACAGCAGCATTATTCACAGACTGGAATGAGCCCAGATATCCTTCAATAGGTCAATGAGTTAAACCAAACAAAACAGTAAAAGGAAATGAACTATTGATACACACAACAGCTGAGATGACTCAGAAAAAAAGAGATCAACAGAAAAAAAGCGAATCCCATAAAATTACATACTGTATGATTCAATTTATAACATTATTGAAATGACAGAGTTTTAGAAACTGAGCTCTTTGTACCTGGCCAAGGGCTCTGATCAGCAAGGTGCCCCTGTGTTATCTACCCAGTGCAGTGCTTCACCAGGATGGCAATAAAAGTATTTTAAGTCAGTGAGTAATGAGAAACCATGATGCCCTACCAATTGGACTGGATCAGCTTGCATGTCAATCTAGTCCACTGTAAGCTGGAGAAAGTTACATGAATTCTCATCGACGGCCTCAGCAATGTGCCTCAAGTGTCACTGTGAGATCATTCCCTGCTTCCTGGAGACATGCATTAGCAGTGAACTTCTTCCAAACTTCCCTGTCATCACAGTCAAACAATTTTTGAGACACACCAGAAACACCAGGGAAAACAGAGTCCTCTGTACAAGTCCTTAATCAGGGAATACTCAATGTTTTTCCCTGATGAAGGACTTGTACAGGGCCACTAGCTGCTCAGGTTTATATGCCTCCTGGGTCATTACGAGATCTGAAGTCTAAGTTGTACTTCCCAGACCTGGAAGAATACAAAGGCAACTATGCCCATGGCAGTTACATATTATCAATGTAGCCAGCTTTCCCAAGTGCATTCCACAGCAGCTCTAGCCTTCTTTATTCTCTAGGATATATAGCTTTCTATTGCTGCCATAAGCAATCACCACCAATTTAGCAGCTTAGTCAACATACACTTGCTATCTTACAGTTCTGTATGTCAAAAGTATGACATGGGCAGCACCAGGCCAAAACCAAGGTATCCACAGAGCTGCCTTCCTTTCTTGGCTCTAGGGGAGGATTTGTTTCCTTGCTCATTTGGGATACTCATAGAACTCAGTTCCTTGTGGTTATGTGACTGAAATCCATTTCCTTGCTCATTGTTGGCCAAGGGCCGTACTCAGCTGCAAGGTCATCACTCTCCTTGGCTCATGGCCCCCTCTTCCATCTTCAAAGCCAGCAATATCATAACTTCTGACCTCTCTGACCACAGACATAAAAGGCTTTCTTCTCTGCTTTTAAGGACTCATAAGATTACACTGGACCCTTCTGGATAATACAGGATAATGTCCCCGTTTTAAGGTTCATAACCTTAATCATATCTGCAAATCCCTTTGGCCAAGTAAAGTAGTATATTCACAAGTTCCAGGGATTAGGACATGGACATCTTTAGGAGACATTATGCAGCCTACCACAATCCCCCACATTGGCAGCAGCTTTCTCACATTTCTCTTTGATGACACGGCTCAAGTGTGCTAAGCCTTGGCTCTAACGAGCATGGCTTCCCTGAAGTTTGCTGACGGGGAAGATTATGAACTCCTATACTGCCAGCTTATTGCCAGATTGAGAACCATTGCTGGTCACAGTGAAAGCTGGAACTAGCAGGATGCCTTCAGAATTGCCAGCAAATTCACAATTCTGTGACAGCAGGGAGAATCCCTTTTCGGCAGCTCCAGCCTTACAAACAGCAAAAGAGATTCCCAGTATAATGTTCACTCCAAATTTAGACCTATTGTCAGGGTCAACTGTCTCTATCATCAATTTGTCAATCCTCTTCTGTTCTATAACATTCAGGTGCTTGCTAATCAGGGCAGGCTCAATAGTTTTATTGATGTGCTCAACAGCCTTTGAAACATTTTTTCCCATAGCTAGTCTTCTCCTCAACTTGAGCTTTAGGGTCTCATATACAACAGCTGAGGTACCATTGGATATAGTTCTGAAGAGATCTTTCCCAGTGCAGGACCCATCTCAAGAGGGGGATTTCCTGGAAAACCAGAAACCTCTCTGACAAAGAGCTGGAGAACAGAGATGGTGAATTTCTACTCCTATTTCTTGTCACTCAGAAAAAAGGGACAGAGGAAAGGGTACTGCAGATGTCAACTGGGAGCCCACAAGCTCACAGGTCTCTCCTTTATTCCCCTGAGCCTTGCCCTGCTCAGCCTCTTTTGCTACATAGATTTTTAAAATCTCCCTCTATGATCCTGATGTACAACCAGATATGAGAACCACTAGTACAGATTATAATGAGAAGCAACTTTTTAGTTACTTCTAGGTAAAAAATTTAGGTTATATAATTTTTCAAACAAAACATACATTCCCTTTTTATTGGTCATAATGTAGAGCATCTTTCAAGCTAAATTATATTATAATTATTACATGATACTCAATCACTAAGCCAGTTTCAGAAAAGACAAACTTCATATTTCAATTTATTCAGTAAGGGGAGGTCAAAAATGAAGGCTTTTTTCCCTTCTACCATATTCGCTAAATTTATGTTTAAACCTGATATATATTTTATAACACTATTTAAGTTATGGCTTTTTCTAAACCAGTGCTTTTTAAGGTAATAGTTATAAATACAACTGTTTTGAGAAAATAGGAAATAAACACTTTCACTTGCTGGTTTCTAGTTCATTATTCCCTTTGTCATTAAGATGATAATGCTAGACAAATTAATGTTTAGACATAAACAGCAAACACAATTTTAACATTTTTCATAATATTGAGAGATGTTTCAGTATTATATAATCAAAAAATCTATTACAAATACACATGTATACATCTTATAAAAATACATTTAAAAACAAAAATGGGACAAATACTGGGTCATTATTCCTCCAAAGGTGAGCTGGTATTATGAAGAGGCTTTGATTTCTTTCTCTTTATCAGGATATTCTTCCACCTCTGAGGAGAACATTAACTCTGGAGAAGAAAATGAACAGATCATACTTAAAATTGTTTCCCAGTACCTCCAACAGAGTTGTATAGCTTATTTATAAATAGTCCTTTAAAAAATTGACATAATATATACTAATAGAAAGCCCTCAAGTAAGATTTCTTGACAGTGAAATATGATTTAAAAGGTAAGCTGATAACAAATGTACAAGTTTTACATTTTAAAATATTTAAATTTTAAATTATAGACCCCTTAAAAGTAAAATGTAATAGAGACAATATACACAATCCTACCTGGAAATTTAAGTCACTTAGAGAATCAAAGATCATTAAACAGCTAAAATGTCTAATTCTACAGTGATCAGATCATCTGAAACATAGGGGACAGATACAGAGGAAGGACTTGGAACTAACAAGAGATGTGTGCCAGGATATTTTAAATGGGTCATCCCATTTAATCATCAAAACAACGCAAGAAGCCAGGTATTATCATCTCATTTTATACTTACTTTTTAAATCCACATGTTGTATGACTAACATGGCCTTAAAAGAACAGGATTCTGGAAATATTTAGACTGAATACTGCACAATCCAGATGCAGTTTTGATCCCAGCCACAATGTAGAATGTTATTAGCTGACATTTTCTACATTTAAACTATTACTTAGCATAGATGTTGGCGAAATTCTGCATGCTAAGGCTTCTGAGGCAGATAGGTTGTAAATAGTTGGTCAAATAAAAAATAAAATAATAACCAAGACCCAGAAAATATCCATAAAAGATGTTTGGCCAGGCGCGGTGGCTCACGCCTTAATCCCAGCACTTTGGGAGGCCGAGGCGGGCGGATCACGAGGTCAGGAGATTGAGACTGTCCTGGCTAACATGGTGAAACCCTGTCTCTATTAAAAATACAAAAAATTAGCCGGGCGTGGTGGCGGGCGCCTGTAGTTCCAGCTACTCGGGAGGCTGAGGCAGGAGAATGACATGAACCCGGGAGGCGGAGCTTGCAGTGAGCCCAGATCGAGCCACTGTACTCTGACCTGGGCGACACAGCGAGACTCCATCTCCAAAAATAAAAAATAAAAAAAAAAAGATATTCAAGGGTAAAACTGTTGAACATTGGCCAAGGAAACACAATTTACAATACAAATACTAAACAGTTCCTCAAGCAGCATAAAAGGTTAGCAGTTTGCTAATATGATGATTCTTCTTCAGGTGTTCCAAAAGGGGTCTGGGGACTAGAGATGAGTGAATCACTGCACACTGAGCATGTTAAAAGAGTACTAAACACTGTTAGCCAATGAACGGTTAAGAATTTGTACCAAATAGAGAAGGAAGAATAATTGACTTGAGTATGTGTCCGACAGAGAGGCTATGTAGACAAAGCATGATTTATTTCAAAATTCATCAGCAGGAGACTAAGAGAAGTGAAGAGCAAAGACTTTTTCTACATTACTTGAAGGGTTCCAAGAGAAGAAATACCTCCTGAAAATGCACAAGGGCCACAGAAGCCCCTCATTAAGTAGTTCCAGACTCAAGCCCTCCTAGACACTCCTCCCTGCTTCTCTTGGCATTCTGTTACACCACTTTATTTTCTCTCTTCTTGTATCATTTTAATTTAAATGTGTCTTTGTTATTGGAATATTATAAGCTATACCTATTAAAAGGAGGTTTATAAAACCATTATAGAAGATTTCAGGATATTCTTATGCTATTTTTTTTCTTTAATACCTTCACTAAGATCCATGCCTGGCCTATAAGACAAAAATAGCCAAGATAATCCAACCAGAAGAGCCACCACGAGATTCACCACAATCCATGGCTGGAGAATCTGTTCCTCAATTCCTGCTTCCCTAAAAATGTAGAAACACTCATTAGAAGTGCCTTCAGTTTGGTTCATATACACAAATATATCTATTTTATGAACTTTAAGAAAAAACAGCAGTCCTCTCCTAGAGAAATAACAAGTAAAGTGTGAAAGAAAATATAATTTCCCTGTAAAATATACCACATATATAATGAGAACAAGGGTTCAAAGGTTATTTAAACTCTGAACAGATCTGCTGTATACATTCATATAAATGCAAAGTTAGTATTCCCAAGAAAATTCTCTAAAAGTTTTCCTTCCAACTACCATGACATTAATCCTCAATAAAGTATCTTTGCTTTCTCTTTACCTAATGTCCCTAGCCACTCTCTCAAAAAAGACTACTTTTGGATGCTACGTGCAGCATTTGGGGAAAAAAAAAAAAAAAAAAAAAAAAGACTGCTTCTCTAAGTTTTATGAACTATAATCTCAGCCATCCTGTCAGCTTCATGGCTGGCCGCTGATCTGCAGATGTTGGCTCTCCCTGTTCCGCTCTTTCTAGCATTGCTTGGTTTTCTGAATCTATCCCAGCTACTCACTCCCATCACTGTTCTGGGATATGAAACTCCCTGACAGGGGGTAAGAATGCAGGGCTCCTTCCGTCCATCATATGATGACTTATTTTAGAACTATAACTTGGCTGGGCGCAGTGGCTCATGCCTATAATCCCAACAATATGGGAGGCCAAGGCGGGTGGATCACCTGAGGTCAGAAGTTCAAGACCAGCCTGGCCAACATGGTGAAGCCCATTTCTACAAAAATACAAAAATTAGCCAGGCATGATGGCGGGTGCCTGTAATCCCAGCTACTCAGGAGGCTAAGACTGCAGAATCGCTTGAACCCAGGAGGCGGTGGCTGCAGTGAGCCGAGATAGTGCCATTGCACTCCAGCATGGGTGACACAGCGAGACTCTATCTCGAAAAAAAAAAAAACTATAACTTGAAGATCTAAAACAGATTTTTAAAAGGAAGATATTTCATTAAAAATGCAGGTGGACATAACAATAGTTACCCATTAACCAAAGGAATAAGTATTTTCTTGCCATATATTTGGAAACAAAAACAGAGCCTTCATTATTTGCAGTTGAAAAAGAATGGAAGGATAAGAAAAGTTGCTGTTATTGCCATTAACAATTGCTAATGTCATTGTGAATTCTTACCAGAGGCTACCATTAACAGAAGAAGGTGTGTAAAGGTGGATTCTGTCACTTGTCATTTGCTGACTCAGAGATAGTATAAGAGCAGTAAAGTACACTGAGAAAAAGACAAATGAAATTACTAATAATTTTTAACAACCTGGTTTATTTTGAATTTATAGATTAATATCGAAAATAATCTATACTTTCATGACTGATGATATAAAAGAAATTTATTTGACCAAATAAATATATTTCAATAGGCCAGACATCCTTATATAAATTTTTGAGAACAATAGGTGCAGAAGGATCTTTTGAGACGTTCACTATTTCATCATTAGAACTGACAAGAACCTAGAACATCTTTTTAAAAGTTAAATGACTTGCTCAAGGTCCTAAAACTAGTTTTATTAATATTCTCAAAACTTAGAACAAAATGCATTCCAAATGATCAGAAAGATATAAAATATTGTTTGTTATTAAAAGGCCATACCCGCTGAATCTGTTTAATGTCAAGTAGAAAATACAAAAGTTAAAAAGTAAGTAATATAGTACAATAAATTAAGCTTTTCAAAGTTATTTAGATGAACCTCAATTGAAAAAATAATTCTATCAATATTATGCCTTTTATGTTTCTAATTACAAATTCACTGAACATCTATAGGTAATGTTTATAAGGAGCAGTAATACAACTTTTAAAAAAAATTATATTTATCCTGGTTCAAAATTATGGTATAACTGAAGTATTACACAGTTATCATGTTAAACTGCTTACTCACAGAAAGATGCTAAAGCTGTAGGATCCAGGGCCAAAAAATTTCGGATTGCTACTGATATTTTAGCAAAGTCAATCCTAGAAAATATAAAAGTTTCTTGTCACAGCGCAGTTGTAAACTTAACAAAACTTTACTTTCTTGACTATAGTTTTTTCCTTCTCTAGTCTAATGCTAGCACATATACTATTACTAGGTTTTAAGTAGCTACAGTGTATACTTAACACGCATGACAAAATTATCTAATTTACAAAGGCCACATAAAACATCTAACTAGACTACTTTGGACAACATTCCTTTGGGGTTAAAACATCCTAAAGAAAATTAAACTTGATCTATAAAATTTCATTAGTTTCTACCTCTTTCTATTACCCATATCATTGGGCTCTAACTCGGTGGATTTTTTTTAAAAGGGGCTAAATTGTGTTCCCAAAAAGATATGTTGAACTCCTAACCTGGAGTACTTATGAATGTGACCTTATTTGGAAGCAGGGTCTTTGCAGATGTAATAAAGATAAGATAAGGTCATTAGGATGAACCCTAATCCAGTATGACTGCTGTCCTTATTAGAATAGACACAGATACAGAGATACACAGGGGGAAAGTGCTGCATGACGATAGAGGCAAATATTGGAATGATGCATCTACAGCCAAGGAATGCCAAGGACTGTCAGCAACCACTGAAGTGAGGGGAAGGTCATGAAACAGACTCTCCCTCAGAGCCCTGGAAAAAGGAATCAACCCTGGCCACATCCTGATTGCAGACTGCTCGCCTCCAGACCCATAAGAGAATAAATGTGCTGTTTTCAGCCAGCCAGTGTGTGGTACTTTGTTACAGCAGTGCTAGGAGACAAATACAAATGCTCTGAGTTTCACCTATACCTGATTTAGATGACATTTAGGAACTTCTGAGTTGACTATATTTGGATGAAATTTTGGACTTATGAATTGATGCTGGAATGGGTGAAGTCTTTTGGGAATATTTTGTTTACAATGGTCTCATCCCCTCAAAAAAGAACAGAAGTAGACTGGCCTTAAAACTTTTTGAAGTAACATTGATACTCTATAATTCTATTTTGAAAACTATCATGGTCAGTGACACATTTTGCTCAGCATTTCCTCCTGAAGAAGTTAGACAGATCTGGAGTCATAGGCATTACCTGTCAAAAGCTGAAATTGTACTCAGAGCCAAAAGCAAGTACAGAAGACTCTGGAATGGATACGCTAGGGTCTTGTATTGTTGCAGAAGGTTTGAGAGGTTGGATAGCTGATCTCCTGCTAGAACATATATCACAACAATATTCCACACAGCACAGCCAGCCAAGAATCCATGAGAAAAGAGACCAATCATCCTGAATGGAAAAGGGTTTGATTATTATACATGAATTACTAAAGTAAAAAGCTAAAACATGTTTAAAATCTCTTCATATACAAGAATAAAATTCAACATTTCATGACAAGTAAAAGCAAGCTCTTTCTTTTTAGTTACACTGATAGGTAGATCACTCAATTCCAATAGGATGTTTAAAAAATATACCTACCTACCATTTTAAGTTGTGATTTCATTAATAATACTGAACAACCAAGAGGTTATTTTTTTCTTTAATTACAGAACTCAGTTAACATTTATTTTAAGAAAAGTCCAACAAAAGCAGCCACCTGAAAGCCCGGTGCACTGTAAGTGCCACATCTCTGGTGGTCCAGGAAGGCTTCACGTCCATTGACACATCTATGTTTTCTGTGGTCTTTATCAACTCTGAACGATCAGCAGCCTGGAATCTCCCTAAGAACACATAACGTAATTACTAACAACTAGCGAGAGAGAACCCTGGTAGCCATTTTTTTTTTTAAATTCCATACTCAGGAAGCCGCAAACTAAGACTGAAATATTGCTGTTCTATCTGAAAATTCTCCTTGACTCAGTACCTATTTCAGAAGGATCTTTTCTTGGGGTTCCTTAAACATAATTTTTCATCTTGAAGAAAAATAAGCGATGTCAGTGTATTTTCTTCTCAATCCAAAGTGAAGTAACAATTTCAGAAATCAATTATATTTAATAAAAAAAAATGAACTTTCAACTCAGAATAAAGTCTAGAAATCTTTAACATGACCTAGTCTACAAAATTCTAATTTAGAGACTTTAGAAGTATTAAAGTTTATATGCCTATACTATCAAGGTAAGTCAATATTTGAAAACTACTTTAAATTTCTTAGGAAAAGATGTCAGGATGTGTAGCATGGCTTTCTGGGATGACAGGAAAGAAATAGGCTGCTTCATAAATTTCTCTTTAGAACATTCCTGTGAAGAACATCAGTTCAAAAGTCAGCACTGCAATATTGTATGAGCAGGGCTTTAGCCTTTTTACTGTTGATTCAGAGGCTCCTTCTTGTATATCTAGTAATCCACAAATAGACCTCAGGAAACAGGAAAGGTTCCATTTCAATTATCCTCACCAAACCCAGTTCGCAGGTGTTTTGGAGGATGAAAGACAGGGGTGTGACAATTTTCCCTAAGAAAAGACAACTTCTGGGCAGACAATAGAACCACTGGTACCTTTTATGGCCAGTTACTCTAGCAGGGAAATTTCTATGCTAAGTGAAGCAAGAATAAAAATGAGGATTAAGTGATACTGCTTGAAAAAGAACTGCGGTAATTTAAATGACCACGTGGTAGATGAATAAAACCATGTGACTAGAAGTCATAAAACCACAGTTCAAGTCCCAGTTCCACCCTAACCAAACTGTGAGACACTGGGTAAGTCAGCCTCTCTAGACCACAGGTTTCTTATTGGCCAAGAACTGCAAGATCCCTTAAATGGGATCTTCTGAAGTAGGGTTCTAAAACAAGGTACACAAAATCTAAATTGTAAATTTTAAGGACTAACCTTTATGTTTCAGATGAGTTCTTTAGGCAGCATATGCTTAACATATCCATGGTAGTATATAGTCATGATCATGCTTTGAGTAGGTTTTTCTTAAACACTGTGTTATAGACGGAATGCGTCCCCCAAAAATTCATATGTTGAAGCCCTAACCCCCCAGTGAGTGCGAGGTCACTGGGAGGTAATTAGATTTCGATGAAGTCATGAGGATAAAGCTCCCATGATGAGATTATAATCCTTTTAAGAAGAAGAAGACACACCAGAGCTCTCTCTGCCACATGACGACACAGTGGCAGCTGTCGGCAAGCCAGGAAGGGGCCTTCTCCAGTAACCTAATCTGCTGGAACCTTGTCTTGCACTTCCTAGCTTTAGGAACTATGAGAAATAAATGTCCGTGGTTTAAGCCACTTAGTCGGTGGTATTTTGTTATAGCAGCCTGAGCTAAAATACACTGCAAACCTAGTATACATTATACAATGTCACAACTATCTTGCAAAAGAATATACAGCTATAATGTTGTATTTCTTATTTAATATGGTAGTATCATCATGTATTTTCTCTTATTGTCAATTGTAGAATTTATATTATTATCTGTCCCACCACAACTACTACCAATTGCAGCAAACTGGTAAAGTACAAGAAAGAATAAAGAATCAGGCAGGGGTGGGGAAGATCTTTACATTGCCCATAACCCCATAAATCCAGAAACAACCAGCATTAATATTTGAGCCTATTTCCTTCAAGTCTTTTGTCCTATGCATAGATCAAACTGTGTGTGTGTGTGTGCACATGTGTATATGCTCATTTTTTATCAGAATCTTTCCATAAAATGAAAAATTCTCCCTAAACATTATGTTTAATGGTGAAGAACATTATTATATAGATACACCACAACTTACTGACATTATTCCTCTCCTATTTCACATTTAGGTTGTTTCCAGTTTTTCACTCTCATGAATCATAGCATGATGACCAGTTTTGTGTATAAATTGTTGTACACAGTTTTGCTTAATTCCTTAATTCAGATTTCCAGAAGTATAAAGGATATCCTTGGACAATTTTTAAAGAGTTCATATTCTAAAACAAGGCATCTACTTACGGCTTTTTTCCACAAATACTTTGCCTACAGGCTGGCTAATGCCAGTGGGTGCAGTGAATACAGACTGCTGTTCCACAGTAGTTTGCTCATCAGTGATTATGTCTTCATCTTCTACTCCTAGCTCATTGGCATACTGTAATTCTGCTGGCTGGGTTTTCCTGTAATAAGGACGTATGTATGAAAAATAGATGATTATTGAATTTTTTACAGACTTACATAAGGAACTAGCTATAAATATAATGGAAAGGGCCCTGGACTTGGAGTTAAGAAATGTGGTTTTTACTCAAATAAATCGGTTATTAACTATTATGTGCAGCAAGTTACTTACATTTCTGAGGGCTTCAGTTTTCTCATTTGAAAATTGAAGTGACTGAACTAGATCTGTAAGCTTCTTTCCAAATTTAAAACTGTATGATTCTGTATAGATACTGATAAGGTTTGGCTATGTCCCCACCCAAAATCTCATCTTGAATTGTAATAATCCCCACCTGTCAAGGGACTGTTCTGGTGATAGTGAGTTCTCAGGAGATCTGATCGTTTTGTAAGGGGCTTCCCCCTTCACTCAGCTCTAATTCTTCTCCTTCCTGCTGCCCTGTGAAGAAGGGTGTGTTTGCTTCACCTTCCACCATGATAGTAAGTTTCCTGAGGCACCCCCAAGTCATGCTGAACTGTGAGTCAATTAAACCTCTTTCCTTTATAAATTATCCAGTCTCGGGTATGTCTTTATTAGTAGTGTGAGAACGGACTAACACAGACATTGATCACTATTTGTAGGTTCATTTTCAAATACAAATAATAGTGCTATATATATGACTTCCAGTGTTATTTCTTTAAAGTACACTACTCATTTTATCTTAATGCTAAAACCCAGTTTTACTTATTCCTAAAATAATCATAATTTGAATTCTGTTAACATAAGAAAATAAATCACAATAGCCTATTTCATTATCTTTAATTTTTAAATATCCTTAATGTTTAATTTTGCTACTTATATATTCTATTTGTGTTCTTCTTTTTTAGAGATGGCTCTTAAGTTTTTTTATTTAAGTACAATCTTAATTTTTTTTATTTTCTCAGTGGTTTACTCTTCTGAAATTTATCATTCGATTGGTTTAACTGATTTTTTGTAATAATACTTATCCTAGAGGTACACAAATACAAGTATGTAATAAGACTTAATGAGAAGCTACTGCTTCGGAGCTCCAAACAAAGCATCAGGGTAATCCTGGAGAATAGTTAGAAGAATAAATAAATTCCTACTTTGTCTTCCTCCGAGGTTTTTGAATAACTGCCTCCTCAGCTGGCTCCGCATCAATACCATTTTCATTTCGTAATAAAGATGAACTAGATGACTTCTTTTGGGTGGAGGAAGTCTCCAATTCTGAAAACAAAATAAATTTAACTTTTCAAATAACTAAAACATAAAAAGAAAAGTAATGTACAAGACTTGTATAAGAGAAAAGAACTTCAAGAATTTTAATTGGGCAAAAATGTTTTCACTATCTTACAAATTTTTAATTTTTTAAAAATGTTATACTTCTAAACTCTCAATGTAAAAATTGAAATTGTAATGCCAAACAATATGGAAAAAAATTAAGTAACCCAATACCCAGGCTGTGCTGAAGATTCCCAAGATTATCTCCTGGTTCGCTGACTTTCTAGAAGGGCTCACAGGACTTGGAAATCATCACACTCACAATTATGGTTTACTACAGCAAATGGATATAAAGCAAAATCAGCAAAAGGAAAAAGTACATGGACCAAGTCCAGAGGAAACCAAGTACAAGCTTCCAAGAGTCCTCTATCAGTGGAGTCAAATAGGATGTACTAACATTACTGGAGAGTAATGAGTTGTGACAACACATGTGACACATGTTGTACAAAAGAAGCTCATCAGAGACAGTGCCCAAGGTTAGGGGCTAGTCACATAAGCCTAGCACATACCAAAATTCTGGATGCCCGGAAGGGAAACAGATGTTCAGCAAAAATCACTATGTGTGCACAAATGCACCGTGAGTCACCTTATAATTTAGGGAAAGTTTTCTATCAGTGTAGGGAGCTGTTTATCATCCAAGTTCCCAGATGCCAGCTAACGGCCAATCTTATCAGCAGGCTTTTCCAAGGATAGCAGTCTCAGGTCTGCTATATTAACTCTTTTCTGCACACAGGGTAGGTATTAAGTTTAAATGAGTCAGTGAAGCCTTCTTCTAATCCACTAGCTACTCTTCCTACCTGGAAATACTAGCTCCCTGGAATACCTTCAAGACCTTACAATTCTATTGTAATAAAATACTTACAGCCTCGACTGGAAATATAATGCAAGCAGTAGAGCCTACCATTGGTCATCCTGAACAAAATAAATAAAAACACAATTTTTAAATCCAGAAACTTAGAAAGGTGAACCTGCCAGGCTTGGTGTACTTTGGAATGGCAATGACAGGTCCTTTTTGATTCAAAACTTAGTTGGGTCCTGAATTTTCTAAAAAAGTCATTTCTGTAAACACACTTTTCACAAATTATAAAACTAGGTATTGGTATCCATCTTGATTTTTAAACTTGTATCTTAACTAAATTACTAAAAGGGCACTTTTAATGAAACTACATTTACTGCCACTAATGAAATAAACTGTAGAGTAGTTAAAGCTAGTCTGAGCACCATTTCTGTCTCTTTTCCTTCTTCTGCCATCATCCGCCCCTTCGTTCTCATAGACCCTCAGTGCCCCCAGGCACTGTGGCATCCCACTTCAACTTGCCTTCCAAAATTATGCTCCATTCTCCTGACTTTTCTAGTTCCTGCCCTTCTACTCCTATAATTCTTCCATCCAATCAAGACACGCCGTTTTCTAGAAGGACAAGTAATTAGGAAAATTATAATAAATTATTAATAAGGGCTGATGTTAATAGGAGAGCACTAATCTCCCCATCTTTGTTCCTTCCCTGAGTTTTGCTCCAATACAACTCTTTGTCATTTTTCTAATTATTATAAAAGTCATAATGCTCAAAATATAAAAAATTAGTAAAATAAATGAAGGAAGAAAATTTTAAAAATCATACTTCCTCCTTCTAAAACTTCTACCACTGTAACACTGCTATATTCTTCCATTCTTTTTACTATGTAGATGTATGTACATATTTACGTTCTGGGTTGAACTGTGCTCCAAAAAGAGATATGTTCAAGTCCTAACTCATAATACCTGTGAGTGTAACCTTATTTGGAAACAAGAGTCTTTGCAGATGAAATCAAGTTAAGATGAGGTCATGCTAGATTGGAATGGGCCCTAAATCCAACAACTGATATCCTTATAAGAGGGAAATGTGGACACAGACACACAAGGAAAAATGTGAAGATGGAAGCAGAGATTGGCATTATGCCACCACAAGTCAAACAATGCCAAGGACTGTCAACAACCATAAGAAGCTAGAAGAAATGGCCAGGCGCGGTGGCTCACACCTGTAATCCCAGCACTTTGGGAGGCCGAGGTGGGCGGATCACCTGAGGTCAGGAGTTCAAGACAAGCCTGGCCAACATGGCAAAACCCTGTCTCTACTAAAAAATACAAAATTAGCCGAGCATCATGGCAAATGCCTGTAATCCCAGCTACTCAGGAGGCCGAGGCAGGAGAATCGCTTGTACCCGGGAGGCAGAAGTTCCAGTGAGCTGAGATCGCACCATTGCACTCCAGCCTGGGCTATAAGAGTGAAACTCCATCTTAAAAAAAAAAAAAAAGAGGCTCGAAGAAACAAGGAAGGATTCTTTTCTAGAGACTTCAGAGGGAGCATAGTCCTGCAGACAACTTGATTTTGGACTTCTCACCTAAGAACTATGAAAAAATAAACTGTTGTTTGAAGTCACACAGTTTGTGGTAATTTGTTATGGCAACCCTAAGAAATTAACATAGTATATTTTACAAAAATGGGATCCTCCAATACATACTATTTTATAACCTTTGTTCTTTGATTTAATAATACACAACTGATGATTATCTGTGTCACCCTAACAATCCTTTTAATGGGTACCTGGTTCCTATTTATGGATGAAGTATGATTTATTTAGCCAGTATCACACCGTTAAATATCTGGGTCATTACCAATTTCTACTCTTATAAATAACGCTGCAGTTAACATCCTTTAATTACTGCAGCTATTGAATTTACTACTATTCCCAGAAATCCAGACAGGCTGTATCTATGCTCCTATGAGCAAAGCATGAGTGCACCCATTTCCCATCAATATTGGATTTTATAATTTGAAAAAAGCATTGCCAATTTGATAGGCCAAAAAATGGTATAGTATTTTATTTACCTTGTGAACTGCCTGGGACATAGAAAGACTAAACAAATGTTAGCTGTTGTTTCACTATATTATTGTTAGTACAGAATCTACCATTTCCCCACTAATCTGAAATGTCCATTTCATCATTTACTAGATTTTTCTATGCACTGAGATCTGAACTTTCTGTTTAGTCCTGTATTTGTTGCCCTCCTCTCATAATCTATACATATATGATCAAAAGAGACCTGTAAAGTATTCTTGGCTTAAGCCATTGGAGTTATTCTAGTGGTAAATATTTTAAACATAAAAGCAAGAAACCACCTGTGGGATATGGATAGGGGGAAAGAAATGAAAGCAGAGAGGTTTTTATCATGTCATCAAAATCACAAGTGCTATCACAACTTAACCTTGGTTTCTTCACATACCAAGAGGTAGCCTTGTCTTTTTCTGTCTTCTTTGAACAGGAGCCTCTGGGTGCTCTTTGAGTTCTTTAGTTGATGGCTCATTGCCCTCAGAGGGCCTTCGACCAGCAGTCTGAGCAAGGCCTTCCAAAGAAGCACTTGCTATAGAAAAACAGAGTAGAAAAAAATGAGATTACTTGAGCAAAGATCACTGAATCTTAAAAAGATGGAGGAAAAGGTAACTAGAATGTTTCCTATAGAATAACCCCATCTCTTTCAGAACTAATTATCCCCCAAATCTTTCCTTCCTCCTCACCTGTAACTTTGGGCTTTAAGTTAGGAAAAGAAATAAATGAAGGAATAAGAAAGGCTGAGGAAGAAAAAACGAGGGGGCTAAAAAGAAGAGCAAAAGACAGGAGGAGGAGAAATTGCTTCAGAACATTTAGAACTTTGAAAAAGGTGGAAAACATAATAAAAACTGATACCATAGAGAATTCTCTTACTTGCCTCTTGCCTTAAGAATTTTCATCAGCCTCTATATAGTAAAGTCCTTCATTAATAAGTTAAAGAATAATAAAGTCATCATGGATAATTGGAGTTAGCAGGTAATTTATAAGTCTCTTCATTTGGTCATTCACTTCAACTTCTTCCCTCATGAAATCTTTTAAAAGAATTTTAACACATACCTGACTGCATTCCCTTCCTTGCTTGTCTTCTTCACAAAAGAAATAGAAATTGCACTGGGTGCAGTGGCTCATGCCTGGAATCCCAGCACTTTGGGAGGCCAAAGCAGGCGGATCACATGAGGTCAAGAGTTCGAAACCAGCCTGACCAACATGGCAAAACTCCCTCTCTACTAAAAATACAAAAATTAGCCGGGTGTAGTGGCATGCGCCTGTAGTCCCAGCTACTCAAGGAGGCCGAGGCAGGAGAATCGCTTGAACCCAGGAGGTGGAGGTTGCAGGGAGCCAAGATCACACCATTGCACTCCAGCCTGGGCAACAGAGCAAGACTCCGTCTCAAAAAAAAAAAAAAAAAATAGAAATGTATCAATAAACAAATGAAAATGTTTAACCTCAGTAGTACATAGAGAAATGTAAACTAAAATAAGCTACTTTTCCCCCACTAAATTAACAAAAAAATTTTAAAGATTGATTATTGTCCAATGTTGTTAAGGATTTAGAGAATGAGACACTCTCAGACTCTACAGGTAGCAAGATAATAACTAAAGCTTCCTTAAGGTAATTTAGCAGAGTCAGTCATACTAATAATGCACACATCCTGCACCTAGCAATTCCACTGCTAGCAATCCATCCTACAGAAGTACTTCTTCCCTACCACCCACTATTTTATGCAGAACTGCAACATTGTTGGAGTGAAAAATTGGAAATAACCTAAATAAATAACAGAGCAGTGATTATGGTACATTCTTATCATGTAATACAATGAAGTCACTGTTTAAGAATACATAGAACTCTATGTATTAAGAAACAAAGATAGTATGTATGATTCCTTTTATGTTTTTGTTGTTGTTTGTTTGTTTTAAAAAAGGAGCAGCAACCACAGAAACCTTTTAGGAGTGTGAGAGGTCTCAAGTAAAGAGTGAAGTTAAAGGATCAGGTAAAGATAATCTTGAGGTTTCAGGCCTGAGGGCTGGGAAAATGGTAGGTTCCATTAACAGAAAATCATGAGACGTAAAAAAATTATTTATTCTTAAAGGCAACGATGGATTCTAGATGTGCTGAGTTTAGAGTTACGGATGCAACTTCCAGGATTATCAGTGGATGACTAAGACAAAAACGAGTTCTGCTCATGACTGAAGCTTTACTATTTAAATGATGATGTGGCCATGCCTTCAGACTCATGCTGTAATGTAGAGATATTCTGATTGAAGTGAGATTTAAGAACTCTGTGTTTCTAAATTCAGTATCTTGTTCAAGGGTCTGGAATCAATCATAGCTTAAAACCATGTATGTTGTCTGGGGATAAAAGACCTTAAAGAGTCCAGGAATATCATGGAAATAGGAGCTTAGATGGCACCACCTTCTATTCCATGAATGCGTCCAGATACTCCTCAGGCTGCCCACTGCCCTGTACCTCACCACCACCAGGAATTCCACTGCTTCAAACTGGCCTTAATTCTATCCTCAATGAAGTGGAGATTCGGGGCTGCTGGGGCCTTAATTCTCCCTTATCTGTGATGTTTACTACGCCTGAGGTCCTGGGAAAACTTGTGATCCCACACAACAAAGAATAACGTCTTACCTGGTGTGTTTTTTGTTCTGGGCTTCTTTTTCTTAGGACGACTAAGTGGAATATCATCTATAAAGCAAGAAAAAACGTCAACAGAAAAGGGTGCCTAAAATTCAATGCAGAGAACAGTCAGAAGAGAACTTTTAAACAGGGAAGAATTCTCCCTCTCTTCCCTGGGCCTGGCAAACGTTTATAGATTAGGGGAAGAAGGCAAGAAATTGAGAAGATCAGAGAGAGCCCACAGTGTGGTACCAGTAGCACACTGCATGTCAGTAATGTTAGAAACCATGACACAGAAAGTGGGTTCAACAAATATTCATCTGATCCCCTATATTTCCCAGCCTCCTTGCACATAGGTGTAGTCTATGACTGGTTCTGGCCTATAGGCTGTGAGCAGAAGTGATCTGTGTCATTTCAGAGCCAAACGTTGAAAGAGCCAGTGAGTAATCTTCCAGCTTTCTCTTCCCTTGTTGTGGTGACTGAGGAAGCCTCATGTTAAGATGGTGGGACCACAGCACAGAAGTAGCCTAGATTGCAGACCAGGCGCAGTGGCTCACACCTGTAATCCCAACACTTTGGGAGGCCAAGACAGGCAGATCACTTGAGCTCAGGAGTTCGACACCAGCCTGGCCAACATGGCAAAACCCTGTCTCTACTGAAAATACAAAAAGTAGCTGGGCATGGTGGCACACGCCTGTAATCCCAACTACTCAGGAGGCTGAGGCAGGAGAATGACTTGAACCCAGGAGGCAGAGATTGCAGTGAGCCGAGATCACACCACTGCACTCCAGCCTGGGCAACAGAGTGAGACTCTGTCTCAAAACAAAAGAAAAAAAAAAGTAGCCTAGATTGCTATATCAATAGTAAAAAGGTAGTGAAAGGTAATGGTCCCCCATTTTTGCCATAGCAGACTTTGTATTAATTAGAAATAACCCTGTGTGACACTAAGTCACTGAGATTTGGGGGTTTTAGTATAGTATAACCTTGTCTACCCTGACTAAATGAGACAAAGGAAGGTGCAGTCCTCATTATAGAGCTACAAATTAGCCAACAGTTATGTGCTGGGTGACCCCATTCAGGGATGAAGTGCTTTTATAATGGAAAGGTCATCTAGTGCTATGTATCAATGACAATTTTTAAATGGTAGTCATGGGAGATTATTTCACAAAAACATATTGTAGAATTACAAATTACACCATTCAGACTCAGTTTTAAGAGAAACAAACCAAGGAATCAAACTAATTTTTGAACACCAAATATTATATTTACATTAAACTAACTCACCTTGACTAACACGTCATATAACACCAAACAAATTTAATCAGCAGGACAAAGACAAAAAAGAAACAATTAATTAGAAACCTGTTAATATTCACAGTGAAAATTGACTTAAATCATTACAAATTTAAAATAAAATTAGCTTTCACATAATAGCTAGTTTACAAACTAGTTTACTGTTTATAATTAAGTGGTTTAATAACACTGCTAATAAAATAATGTCAATATTTTCTGAACCTACATATACATATTCCCTACTGTCTATTAATAAAATGGATTAAGCAGATTAAGAACTCTTACTTGTGACTGATTAAAATCAGCTTAAACTCTGAGGAAACTATTCTCACAAAAGACCAGAATTCTGATTTAAAAAAAAAAAGACACCAAAACAGTTAGAAAGGGAATGGATCCATTATCCTACCATGTTGATATTCAGGCTTTTAAATATAACATTCCATTATAACTGTTATTCTTAAAATTCAAGGATTTTTCACCTTTAAAATTTCAGAAAATCCCTAAATTTTTCAGAAGAGTTTCCTGAATCATTGTAATTTTGCAATGATACTAGTCAATTTTTCCACTGTCTTCATTTTCCATTTTTAAAGCTCAATAATGAAATTACTGTAAATTATTTTTACCTTGGCACAGGTGGAAGAGCTCGTGGAGGACGCTGTGGCGGAAAAAATAAATTTGCTTGTAAGTAAAAGCCTAGAGCATCTTTACTTCAAATACCATCACGCTATTTTTTTTTTTTTGAGATGGTGTATTGCTGTGTGGCCCAGGCTGGAGTGCAACGGCACGATCTTGGCTCACTGCAGCTTCCATCTCCTGGGTTCAAGCAATTCCCCTGCCTCAGCCTCCCAAGTAGCTGGGATTACAGGCACCCACCACCATGCCCGGCTAATTTTTGTATTTTTAGTAGAGACGGGGTTTCACCATGTTGGCCAGGCTGGTCTTGAACTCCTGACCTCAGGAAATCCGCCCACCTTGGCCTCTGAAAGTGGTGGGATTATAGGAGTGAGCCACTACGCCCGGCCAAAGCAATTCTTTCAAAAGTCTGTTGTTCAGACATGACAGAAAAATATAATGGATCAGACTAGGATCTTCAAATCTCTTGATAATCTTGTTCATCAGTGAAACCTGGGAGGTACTGATGAGAAACATGGGCAATTTAAAATTTGTTCTCCCATCCTAAATTTCATATAAAATTCCTTCCTTCCTACATTCCTTTCCATCTCTAGGCCAGGCCCTTTTCTAAGCATTAGGAATACACTAATGAACACAATGGAGAGAACTCTGCTCTTATGAAACTTACATTCTAGTGGTTGAGTATTAGAAACAATGTTAAAAATATATATATGATAATATATACTATATATTATATGCAGCATGTACGATAAAATATATTTATATGCTATATTTAAGACATATCTTGTATACATATCGTGTGTGCATATATATATATATACACAAGATACACACACACAAAACGTAATGAATGAAGGAGACTGAGTGCTACTTTTGTTAGGGAAAGTTTCTCTGAGTTTGAGCTGAGACCTGAATGAGAAAGCAGCAACCGGAACAAATGCAAATATTTTTAGGTTAAATTGGGCTTGGAATGTTTCAGGTAAAAGGACAGCAAGGCTGCCGCACAATTACCAAGGAGAGGTAGGCAGGAGCCAGATTAGTTAGGGCCTTGCAGACCAAGGGAAGTTTGGATTTTGTTTTAATTCAATGGGAAACAAATGGAGGTTTTAAACCACATACTAACACAATTTTTAAAAAGGCCAGTTGCATACACTGGGAAGAATGCGTTTTAGGGCAGAAAGAAAGGTGGGGGGAACCCTTCTAAACCCTCATTTACATGAATAAGAAAAGTGTTTGTAGTTCAGACAGCATTACAGTTGAGAAGTATTTTAGAATCATATAGTAACAGAAATGCCTAGAAGCCAATTTAATGTTCCAAGTATCTCATGCTGCTTGCATAAGACATTTATTCAAAAGGGTTAAATTTTAGACACTCTTGTAGTTTGTCCCATTTAGCAATCCATTCGTTCGAACAGTAGATTAATGCAAGTACTACAAGATTAGGACGAGGCAAGCTGCCGTAATACCATCCAGTAGTCAAAATTACAATTGGAGAAGAATGACAGTCACAGGAACGCGCTATTGTTCTAAAGATGCTACGAAGCGCGCGCGATCGATCCCAGGGCTCTGTTCACGTAACTGATTTCAAAAGTCCCGCAAAAATGACGTTCCACCCACCCAGAGACCCAACCTCTAATCCTCAAAAGTAGGACGGCTCAACTGAAGACAAAAATCCTAACAATTAAAAGTAGCTAAGGCTCGCTTACCACAGGATTCTTCCCCATTCTGCGTTTAGCCGGCCTCGGCGGCCGCCGGCCCCCAAGCACCTGGCGCCCCACCCCTCCCGGCTCGGTCGCGCGCGCAGGCGCAATGCGTCATCGGGCCGCGCCGCCTGGCTAGTACCCCGCGCGCAGCGCCCTGCGGGGATGTTGCGGTGAGAGGCGTGCAGGGACCTGGATTGGCCAGTCCAGACTAGCCCTGCCAAAAAGGGGGCCTCGGAGTTGGGGGTAATGTGCCCAGGAGCAGAAATCTGGCGACCGTGGCGCTGCAATCACAGCTTTCCCGTGGTTTCCTAAGTGGTGGCGGTGATTTGTTTGCGGGAAGCGGGGCGTGACGGAAGACCTTAATTAAAGGACTCCGCAGGCGAACAGATCTCTTCTGGGCAGCTACAGACCTCTCCTCGGAGGAGTCTAGGAGAGGCCTGGCTGGAAGCCCCGGCACCCGCCGGGCCCCGGGCCTCAGATGAGTGAGGCGTCGTCGTGGCAACGCGGGCTCAGGTCCCCGCAAACTTCATGCCAGGCCTCTCTCTCCCACTCCGGGAGTTCGGTCCCGGCCTCGCCTGCGTCTCCGTCCCATTCCTGTGAACACTGGAGGGGCGGATGCGCGCACCCCACGAGCAAGGCCCTCCCTTAGTGATTCCCAGCTCGTTGGCGCCCCCCCACACACACCCACCCCCACTGCCAAGTGTAGCTGTTTACCCGCCACCTCTCGAGGCCGACGCGCCCCTCGCCGCTCACCAGGTGGCCCTCCTCCAGCCGAGCCCCCGAGTCAGTCCTCATGGTGCTCTCCCCGCGGGGCTGCCCCGGCGCAACCGCCGGCGGCCCGAGCCCAGCTCCCCGCGACGCAGCGGCCTCCGGGACCTGTGGGACGCCGGGGCTTCGTGGCGCCTGGCGAGGCAGCCGCCCCCTGAGCCAGGTCCCCGCCCGCCTCTGTCCTGCCAGGCGCTGCTGGGTTTGGGAGGAATGCGTTTACTCTCCAGGACCAACGAGTCTGTGCAGGCCTGGGTGTGTGGATGTGTATTAATATAGGCAATTCTCACATTTTCTCCGATTGCTTACCCTTCATCCCACAACTGTGTAAATCAAATTTGGAAAAACTTTTTCTCAACCTTAAAATCAAATCCAACCTCACATAAATATCACTACAAACTACCTGATTTGCATCGTTTGGTTTGGTTGGGTTTGTTTTTTTTTAAAGATAACTTTCACTTTAAGTAACAGAGAACTACAAATATTTTGAATCATGCATTCTGTTTTACAGTTAAGAAAGAAATGGGAAAGATGGAAGAATGGTGTGGATATGGAGAAGAGAATGATGCAGAAGATGAACAGATACAGGGACAGGGAAAGCGCCTGGAAATCTCAAATCTGGGGAAAGAAAGAGAAACAGCACTTTGTAATGGCATCCTAATCTTGTTACCAAACAAACGGGGCTTGTTGCCCTATACGCACAGAAGCCAATATTATGGCGCTGATTTTTTGAGAAAAGTTTTCATTGTGAGTCAGCTAACAAGGAGACAGGAGTATAGCTCTAATCTGTCTCCCTGTGTTGGCTTTAAGACAGTATTTTTATTAGAAAACGTTTAGGGGGTGGATTCTGGGATTAGTAGGTGATTGGTGGAAGGAAAGAAGCCATCTGGAAAATCCTCTGGCGTTCGCAGTTACCTCTTCATGTCCCTTCATGGGTCGCATGTGCAAATTTTGGAGGGAGTCAGTGTGAAACATGGGGAAAGATTCAAGCTGTGACGCCAGCAAGCTCATTTTGTACAGACTCCAGGTAGCCATCCGTGTTAGTACTAACCACTTTCAGCCAGTTTGCTTTGTTTTGTTTTGTTTTGTTTTTTAATCTCACAATGGAAGAAGTTTAGGCGTTTTATTTAGCAAGTTGTTTTTTATCTGCCGTCCTGCATGCTCAAGAATTTCTGTTAGTCCCTGGTTTCTTTAACTCTGAGACACGGTTTCACTCTTGTGATTTTCTATATATAGGTCTCTGGGATTAATCCATTGCCTTTTTCTAATTTAGGCCTGCATGTAGATATTGGCTGTTAAGGAAAATTAGTGTTTGTCACACCTCTCATGAGAATAATTTTTTCCTTGTAGGCCGATTTGTAAATAGTGAAGGCAGTGCAGTTTCTTGTAGGTTTTGATTTTAGATGTGAAATGTGTACATTAAACCTTTCTTGCTGAGTTAGTCAAGTAAGCACTTTTTGTAAAAGATGTTTTCATAAAACACGTTTCATAGAGTACAGTTTCTAAAGTTAACTATTGCTTATTTTATTTAGGAAAGCTCTTTATTTAAATCTTAAAAAGATCATGTGAAATCTGCGAAAGGTTCTCATACTCAGTGACTTAACATTATTCATATTTCTACCACAGCTGCATATGAGGTAAAGGAAAAAAAATTAAGTTAAAATAGGTAACCACATAACCATACAATAAAAATTTTTTTCAAATAAGATTAATTAATAAATTGCTGCACTTTTAAAGTTGTACACATTAAAATGGGTCAAATACTGTTGTTTTAGATTGCAACTATGGATCGCTGTATCAAGGGTACAGTGTTAAAACTCCAGCATTAAACAAGAAGTCTCATTGAGACTCAGTATCTGAGGAAATCCATGTTGCTGGTACCCACTGAGGCTCCTCCTGAGCCTTCTGTATGGCAGACAACAACTGGGCACATGCATCGTGCAAGCTGTCATTCACAATCACATGATCAAAAAATTGGCCAAACTGAGTTTCCATTCTTTGGGCTAAATTTTCCATCTCTTGTAGGTCTTCATCCTTTAGGAGAAATAGAAAAATATGGATAGTACAGACTTAATTGGACAAATGGAAAAAATACAGTTTGTTATGCTGTCACATTCAGTTGTGAAACTATGTATAAAAACAGTAAGGTCCGAAAATTTTGCACAGATGATTTTCAATAAAGTTTCAAAAATATTTTTTCAAAATTCTACAAAACCAGCAAACTAGAAAATAGTAATTTTTTTGCCCTCTGTTATTGAAATAATGTGGCTAAGTATAGATAAAATAATTTTTTTTTTTTTTAGACAGGGTCCCACTCTGTCCCAGGCTGGCATGCAGTAGGATCATCTCAGCTCACTGCAGCCTCTGCCTCCCAGGCTCAAGTGATCCTCCCACCTAGGCCTCCCAAGTAGCTGGGACTATAGGCACATGCCATCATGCCCAGCTAATTTTTGTAGAGAAAATATAATTATTATAACAGGTATAAACATATCCTTCTAAATTAATGTGAAGCATAAGCAAAGCTGGGAAAAGTATATCACTATCCACAGTATGTCATCCTTTATTTCTTAGAAATGTATTACTGAGATAAAGAAATTTTAATTTGGAAGTTTTTTTAAATAATAAAAGACTGAAGTTTTTATTTTAAAAAATGAGGTCCAATAAATGTCTTCTAAACTACAAAACTTATGTTTTAATCTTTAGTCTTAATGTCTCGTCATGTTTTGCAAAATTTAGTCATAGTTTGCAGACAGATTACTCCCCTCAACTTCCCGTGTGAACTTATCTTACTCTTACCTAAACACTTGAAACTTTTTAACCATATACAACATAAAACCAAAGAAAATGTACCAGTTTAAATAAAATTTAAACATAAATTTCAAGTGAACATTAATCTGATAGGGATAACATTAAAGATACAAAATGGCCACTTTCAACATGAGGATGGTATAAGCCAGTTATATTATGTTTCTACTATTGTGAAATGTTCATTTAATGAAGGTAATTTGGCATTCACTTGGCACTAATGCATTAAATTCATTGCTGTTATTTTCTTATTAGTTCATGAAAATAGTACAACTTGTCACCAATACAATCTGAAACACAAATGCAGGCACCAAAATCTTGTGGCTTTACAAAGTGACCATACATATGATCCAGAAACAATTTTGTTAATTTGTTTAGACTGCCATAAAAATGAGAACAATTTTAAATGCCCATAAGACTCAGCAAATACATTCATGGACTCCACTGTTCACAAGGCAAACTGGAAAATCAGACCTCCATAGTCATTGCAAAAAATATGAAAATAAAAATAATAAGAGAAAGGATAATTTAAAGATACCTGTGCTTGCTTTGGTAGCACACAGACTAAAACTGAAACAATGCAGAGATTAGCATGGCCCTTGTACAAGCATGACATACAAATATTTAGTGAATCATTCATATTTTTAGTTTCAATTTTGCCAGGTAAATAAATTCTAGAGCTCTGTTTCACACAATGTGAATATACTTAACACTAAATACTAACACTGAACTGTACACTTAAAACGGTTAATATGGTGAGTTTTATGTATTTTTACCACACATATACACACACACACAAGTGGCTGTAATATCTTGATGTGGGTGATGGTTATCTGGGTGCATACACACATAAAAATTCATTAAACTGTACACTCTGTACACCTTACTGAATGTATGTTATGACACAATATTTAAAGCATATTTAATGTAAAATATATGTACGCAACCGGAAAAAAAATCACCTGTTCTAGGATGAGATCACTGATTAATTTCACTTGGCTTGCCCCCTCTATTATTACCATCATCATTTTACAGATGAGATATACTCACTGAGCATTTTTAAAGTAAGCTTTTAAGTAAAAGATATTCTGTTTAAAATACAAACACCAGGCTCATACATGCCCAATTTCTGTTTGGCTTTGCAAACTACGGCTCAAGGATTTTTTTTTAAGCTAGACCCAAAAAAATAAGAAAGTAAAAAATAAGGGTAGCATCATAACATTTATTAAACTTTATATCTGTAAGTGATGTCCATCCAAAAGGATAAATCGTAAGGGCATTATCCATTAGAAACAAAAATTACATTCTCTAACACAGATCCTGTAGAAACAATACAGTTTTAATTTTTTTTTTAAATAAAACCATAGTAAACCATTTTATTGAGGGCCTTTTGGAGAGGGGGTCAAAAAGGAGGAGGAGGACAATGAGATCAGAGATCCTTGGCCCAGCCCAACCCAGATCTCTCCCACGCAGAAGCCACTGAAAGCAATACAGTAGTTTTTGACTTGCTCTTACCTTGAACTTCATGTCCACATAGTAGTCAGTAATAACCTTGGCATTTTTCCGAGATTGTTTCATACACCTCATATTCGATGGCTTTATAAATATGACATAGGGCTTCAGTTCATGGGTTCGAACCCCTTGAATATCCTACACAGAAAATTTAAATGCACATTTATTTTTTGTTTGTTTTGTTTTGAGACATGGTCTTGCTCTGTCACCCAGGCTGGAGTGCTGTGGTGCAATCACAGTTCACTGTAGCCTCAGCTTCCCAGGCTCAAACGATCCACCCATCTCAGCCTCCCAAGTAGCTGGGACCACAGGCATGTGCCACCATGCCCAGCTATTTTGTTTTGTTTTATTTTGTTTTTGAGTCTCATTCTGTTGCCCAGGCTGGAGCGCAGGGGTGGGATCTCTGCTCACTGCAACTACCGCCTTCCCAGTTCAAGCAATTCTTGTGCCTCAGCCTCTCTAGTAGCTGGGATTATAGGCGTGTGCCACCACACCCAGCTAATTTTTGTATTTTTAGTAGAGATGGGGTTTCACTATGTTGCCCAGACTGGTCTCAAACACCTGGCCTCAAGAAATCCTCCCATCTCGGCTTTCCAAGGGATTATAGGCATGAGCCACTGCACCTGATCTAAATGCACATTTAAAAACAGAAGTCCTAGCTTTCTAGAGTGAACATGAAGCTTCTCAAAATTTCTAAGACCAGAAATTAGCAATTATTTTTAGAGTATAGTCTCATGTACCCTCAACTCCTCAATTCTAAAAAACAAATGAACATTTTAAAAATTTGAAGATGTAGTTTTAGAATCAAAATTAAGGTCAGATCCTGACTCTTATTAGCTATGACTAGCAATTGAAATCTTACTAGCAGAGTAAGAGTCTATACATGAGAGAATCTCATTTACTGAGAGTAGGATTCTATACATGATCTCATATGACAAAGACAAAGACAGACTCTCAAGGTGGATCAGCTCTGTTTCACCTTCACTTCCCTTTCCTCTTGCTATTATCTCACATTGGATACTACTACCATCTGTTTTCCTCTGATTCTCTAGCACACAAAGTATATTTCTAAATGACTAAGAAAACATGGCTGGGCGCAGTAGCTCATGCCTATAATCCCAGCACTTTGGGAGGCTGAGGCAGGTGGATCACTTGAGCCCAGGAGTTCCATTGCCAGACCAGCCTGGCAAACATGGCGAAACCCTGTCTCTACTAAAAATACAAAAATTAACCAGGCATGGTGGCTTGTGCTTGTAGTCCTAGCTACTCGGGAGGCTGAGGCACGAGAATTGCTTGAACCCGGGAAGCGGAGGTTGCAGTGAGCGGAGATCATGCCACTGCGCTCTAGTCTGGATGACAGAGCAGGGCCTTGTCTCAAAAAACAAAACAAACACAGACACACACACAGACACACACACACACACGAAGAAAATACAAAGTTCATAAAAATTGGGCCTACGGATTGCATGCTGTTTATCTTACCTTAACTTGCTCACCCCTGCTCCATTCTACATGTGGTCTCAGGAAGGTAGCCACAGATATGACAACATAGAAACCTCACCTCCTTGTACAAAGCAACATCTTATTCACTCCACAAGAAGTTACTCTGATGCCTTTGTGATCAAGGTTAAAGCAAGAAAGATTCTTGCTTCTCTTTGTGACCACTCAATCAGTTCTGCTTTTCTGTCTGAGAAGCAAGACTTCTTTCCCAACTAAAAGTAAAATGTTGTCAATTGACACGTTAAGTAAGATCTTATATATGGGAAATGGCCTTATTCTTAAAAGGCTAACAGAATAAATGTCTCAACTATAACCTACAGCATGTGCACAAAAAATGGATGATACGCATTCATTGTTTGGGGACATAAATATTCCACCATGGACCCACCTGAGGCTCTAGGTCCATGACACAGATCTTTCCTTCGACAAGGACTGTTTGAACAGCATCCACACTAGTGCCATACAGGTGGCCTTTGTACTCACCATACTCCAGCATCCTGCAAGAGCAGGCCAAACAAAACAGAACACTTTCTACAAGGAAAATATTATTAGTAGTAACATGAGGATAAACTGCACTAGAGTTGAATATAAATATGTGGACTTTATTAACACAGAAAGAATGAATAGATATTCAAGAGGTGAACAAAATGAGCATATCTAGAGTTTATGTATTTCCTCAAGTTCTCCAAGGTTTGCAGACTCCATTCTGCTCCCTTTCTAAACCCAGTGAGTTGGTGTGCTGTATATCGATGTACATTTCTTGCTTAACTCCTCAGAAACAAAAGGAATTACCCAGGAGATTTGGAAAATACATAAAAATAGGGAATCTATTTCAAATGTAAAACAACAAGAGGTAAGAATCAGCTTCTGAACCTCTACTTTACCTGTGACTATATATGAGGTTTTCAAATGTTTCCTTGGACACATAGTGATACTCACGCCCATTCATTTCGTAACTCTTTTTAGTACGAGTAGTGTCTATCAGAAAAAGGGAATGAAAGGTTTCAGTGTCTTCAGAATTCTTTGATTACCAATATGCATTTGAATAAAGATATCTAATCAAAATAAATAAATGAATATATAATCAAGGAGATAAAATGCTAGAACTAAAAAGAAGAAGCCTGAATTGGTGATAAGTTCTCGTATCAAAATCAGTTAGTCTATAAACCTTTACTGAGTGCTTATGGTATGAAAAAGAATGCACTAGGTATTAAGCCAGCATAAGAAAGACCTAAGGGAACACCTGTTATTACTTCAAAATAAGTGCTAGTGAATTATGTGTGAACCTTTAGATGCCTGAAAGCTCCCAGGTAGCAATACCAATAATATCTTACATTTGGATAGTGCATTTCCCATGATCTCATTTCATCTTCCACACTCTTACCTTAGGTAAACTGTTAATATCTATATTTTACTCATAAGAAAAGCTTTTGGAGAAACTTGCTCACATTCATAAGACTGATGAAAAGCGAAGTTGAAATTAGAACCTACGTGTTCTGACTCCTCTAGATGAGTGTTTTTTACAACAATAGATTCTCAAATTTGAAATGGAGAAAGCCCATGACATTCTGCAATCTTGACCAGATGCATTAATACCCAACCGAGTGGTGATTCGTTTTAGGGATCTCTAGGAGGGAAAGATTAGCTGAGTCTAGATTCAGTCTGATTCTTTGATATGGCCACTTTGATTACAGACTCTTCAACTTAAATAGTGCCAGGTTGTATAGAATATAGGAGTTCATCAAATATCTAAAAGTTATTTGTTGTCTGCTCATTCATTTATTCAACTAGTGTGTACTGAGTGCCTACTATGTTCCAGGTATCATGTTAGGTTCTGAAAACACAAAGATGAGTAAGACAGTTTCAACTCTGCATCCTATATACTGTAAAGCTAGTCCCTTAATCTATATTACCATTAGTTCCCCTTATTCATACAGAATTTGTGTATTTGCATCTGACAAAGTTTAAGGATGAAATAGATCAACATCTGATGATATCAATACATGGAAATGATCAAGTAGAAGCTAGAAACCGGCCTTAAATTATCAAAGGAGTTACCAACCTTCAAGGGGGTCTAAAAGCAAATGTCATCTTGGGGTCATTTTTGTTTTTTCCTTATTCAAGCCTCTCATCAGATCCTTAGAGTTCCTACAGTTACATCACATCTCCCATAGCTTCCTACTTAAAACAAAATTCTAGTAAAACCTTATAGCTCTCAGGTGATAGTGAATTATGTCAATCTAAACCCAAGATGACTCCTCCTTTGCTTCCACTGGACTAATATTTATATGGTAGGTTAAAGTCTGTGAATTGATGTATAACTCGAGGTATCCATTTTAAGCTTAAAACCTCAATTTAAAAAGCAAAATATGAGCAGTATTTTCTCACTTTGAATGATTAAAAATCTACGTTGATATTCTTAAAATTCTTCTATATTCTGTGGGCATTTTATTTTTATTCAGACTATCGAAAAATGGTGATTTTGGCCGGGCACAGTGGCTCACGCCTGTAATCCCAGCACTTTGGGAGGCCAAGGCGGGTGGATCACCTGGGGTCAGGAGTACAAGACCAGCCTAGCCAACATGGTGAAACCCCATCTCTACTAAAAATACAAAAATTAGCTAGGCATGGTGACGTACACCTGTAATCCCAACTACTCAGGAGGCTGAGGCAGGAGAATTGCTTGAACCCAGGAGGTGAGGTTGTAGTGAGCCGAGATAACACCACGGCACTCCAGCCTGGGCAATGCAGTGAGACTCCATCTCAAACAAAACAAAACAAACAGAAAAAAAAAAAGAAAGAAAAGGAAAATGTTGATTTCTTTGGTAGTTTTTGCTTTTCAGATTAATGCACATTCCTGTACATGAAAGCAGTACTTCAGAAAGCACAGCCTATAGCATGCGATCATAAAGCAACTTCTTGGTCTCCCACAGCCCTTATGTGAGGCAAGATCTTCCCCAGCCCCTGCACAAAATTCTAGCAGTTTCCTGGCCGGGTGTGGTGGCTCATGCCTATAATTCCAGCACTTTGGGAGGCTGAGGTGGGCAGATCACTTGAGTTCAGGAGTTGGAGAACAGACAGACCAACATGGTGAAACCCCATCTCTACTAAAACTACAAAAATTAGCTGGGCATGGTGGTGGGTGCCTGTAATCTCAGCTACTCGGGAGGCTGAGGCAGGAGAATCACTTGAACTCATGGGGCAGAGGTTCCAGTGAGCCAAGATCACACCACTGCACTCCAGCCTGGGCGACAGAGCAAGACTCCGTCTTAAAACAAAACAAAACAAAACAAAAAACACTAGCGGTTTCCATGACTCTTTCACTCAGGTTTAATTTTAAAAGTCTATCATCACTCATGCCACAATTTCATTTTCATCATCCAGTCTCAACTGACTAATTAAAATTCCATTCTCACATAATCATCAAAATTATAAACTTCACTTAGATTTTAGGCTGCTTCTCCACACATCTGGCTCAAATTTGCTGCACCAGGGAAGCCTGCGCTCAGAGAAGCCAGACGAGAGCCAGACGAGAGTATGAGTCACTTCTCTTTCCTTTCACCATATTTCTACTGCTCCTGCTTCTCTCTGCCCCCGATAGATCTCACTTCCACTGGTTTAGAACTCTCTAAGGCTAGAGTGCAGGGAGGGAGAGGAAAGCAGGAAGGAAGGTTCTGGTTTGGCAAATACTGATTCTGGCTGCTATTGGCTTTCTTTAGATTTGGCAGATCCTTAAATCCGGCTCTTTCTCTCCTAAATGATATATTGGGTTATTTTGCAAACCCTATCTCACCAACACAAGGCCTCTCAAGTCCATTCCTATTCCAGTTTGTCATCTGTGATTCCTTCCAAAGCCTGATATATTTGGGAATCCACTTTTGGCCTTTTTCTCCTCAGGCTTCCTCCTGGGCAGGAATCATATAACCCTGGGCTGACTGTCTTATACATTACCTGCCCAGATCTGGTCCTTGGGGAACATCACAAGTCTAGCTGTGATGGACCCTACAAGGACAGCTACTTCCCAAATTATAGCCATTGGCCACTTCCTGTAAGCTCTTCTCCTTTGGATTTTTCAGGTGTAATTCGGACACCATTCTTCTGTGTCCCCCAAAGTGCAGAAGACACATAGGAAGCTCTCCAAGTGGTTCCCCTAGGTTCCTCTGTCTTGCCTTGAGGGGAGGGGGAAGCAAGCACACCCACACACTCTTCCCACACTCAGTGGGTCGGGAACACCCAGCACCGCTCTCTCCAATAAAAGCCTCCCCAAAAAGCCCCATGAATCTCCCTCCCCAAGCCTTTTATACCCTCGAGGTGTGTGAAGAGTTTAACTTGTTTTCACATTCCTCGTTACAGATGTGCATCTTAGTGCCTCAGTCAAAATTTTAACTTTCTTTTACACATATTAGAAACGATGCATTATTATACATTATTATAAACATGCATTATTATGAACTTTCTATTTTGTTGAAATCAGGAATTCTATCTCAAGTCTTGATCTTTTCTATTTTTACAATAAAACAGGTTGTCTTAGAGTGATTTTAAAGGTTTTTTTTGAACGATGAATCTCAGTATGAAACAAATAATTCCTTCTATTTTTAGAATTGTAGCTCTCAAATGTTAAAGCTTAAAAAAAAACTTCATATAACAACTCTAAATGGGTAAAAAACTCACACAACTCTATATAGAGAAAAGTCTGGAAGATTACGTTTTAGGAGTTGCTTTGGAGCTGGTAGTAGTAAAGGGGGAGCTTAGGAGAAATAAAGGAGTTACGAGTAAAAGGAAATAAGAAAACACTTTTTTTTTTTTCGAGTCAGAATCTCACTTTCTCGCCCAGACTGGAGTGCAATGGTGCAATCTCGGCTCACTGCAACCTCCGCCTCCCAGGTTTAAGCGATTATCTGTCTCAGCCTCCTGAGTAGCTGGGATTACAGGCATGCAGCACCACACCCAGCTAATTTTTGTATTTTAAGTAGAGACGGGGTTTCACCATGTTGGCCAAGCTGGTCTTGAACTCCTGACCTCAGATGATCCACCCACTTCAGCCTCCCAAAATGCTGGGATTACAGGAGTGAGCCACCGTGCCCAGCCAGAAAACACCATTTTTTAAAAAGCTGTGTATTTTATAATCATACTCATAAATTTATATAAAGTTGTATAGGCATATATCAATTTTTAGATAGTAAGCACTGGGTGTATGTTAACTATTATTGCTAACTATTAGTTTGCCTGAAAGGCCATCCCTATAATGTTAAGAAATAGAAAAAAGCCATTTTAGACTGTTGTGGGGTAGGGGGAGTGGGGAGGGATAGCATTAGGAGATATACCTAATGCTAAATGACGAGTTAATCGGTGCAGCACACCAACATGGCATATGTATACATATGTAACAAACCTGCACGTTGTGCACATGTACCCTAAAACTTAAAATATAATAATAATTAAAAAAAGAAAAAAGCCCTTTTAAAAGCCAGCTGCCTACATTCCAATAAGTCAGTTTTCCTTATTAAAATAAATATGGTTAGAAATACTTAAGAACTATCCCTGGTGTTGTATACTTTTACAACAAAGATGGAATGACATAGTTAAATGAGATCAGCAAAGAAAGTTTTACCAAAACACAAACCATTATGAAAGCAGAACTAAACATACGTGGCACAGCACTTTGAAAATGGCTGGGATTAAATTCAATAAGTTGTCTTCTGAGCTCATTTACTCCAACACCAGAGGGTCCTAAACACAAAAAGTCACACACAGAAATCATCAGATGTGGATAAATATAATTATGTGATGGAATTATCATTTTAGTCCTTCTACTGAAGAAACTTGAGAGCAAATATTTTTAGGGAAATTATGTAACTTCCTTTCTCATAAATTGGAAGAACCCCAGAAAACTCTTGGGAATTTTTCTAGTGACCCATGGAGTAATCCACATTGTTTCAACATTCAGGAATGAGGTAAGGAATCACAGGAACCTGACCCCCAGCAAACTTCATCTAATGTTGAATGCCATGAGAATTAGCTGGTCTCATTTTAGAGAATCAGAGAGCTCTGCCTTTCTTCTTCAAATGAGGTTTTTATCAAGTGACAGCCAGAAACCAGCATCAACAATTATAGGTTCTGTGACTTACAGAATTCAGGGGCACATTCCTGACAGATGATCGATCAGCACCCCCATGTCCGGCCGGAGGCAGGGCCGACTTCATGGGTATAGAACCTGTGCAGTTACACAGGGCACATGCTTAGAAGGATACTGTGCTTGGATGAATTCTCTACTATTGCATCTTGAAATCTTTGATAATTTTTTAACAAGGGGCCCTTGCATTTGCATTTTACAATGGGGCCTGCAAATGATATTGCTGGTCCCAGCTGTAAGGCACATCGTTCTGCTCTACAGGGACCTGCCTTGCTCATGAAGCTAAACAGGCAGACACGAAGGCAGTAGGATACAAGTTGCTACTGCTACAGGGACCAACTTTGCAAAAGTCATGGTCACAAAAGCAGGTCACTCCTGCACTATCTTTGCCATGATCTTTATAAAGCACCAAAGATACAGTCCAGAAGATGTTAGATACTTTTCTAAAGGAAGTAGTTACAAATTTCTTAGGGGAATGGACTTTAAGAATTTAACATATTTCTCAGGGAAATGGACCTTAAGAATTTATTTTCAGGATACAGGTTAATGATCTGTCTGGGGAAACACTCATCTATGTTTACAGAACAATTCTAAGCAGGCAAAAAAAAAATCTCAGTCATAATGACATCGTAATACTGGTTATATAGTTCATGGACACCATGTCATAACACATTCACTTGTAGATTTTTTAAAAAGCTTGATACAATAAAATGTTACTTATAAACACACATGTACAATGGCTTTGTTTTTTAAAAAAGGTATTTGTATGGGGGTCCATAAAGAGTTCTACTTTCACCATTATTCCCAATGCAAGACACCTGAATCTAGAAGGAAGACTTCTCAAGGAGGAGGAGAGACAGTGCATGCTGGGACATACCCATGAGCACTATGAGGCGGTACTTGTCTGAAGGGCGTCGCTGGTACCTCACCACCTCCTCGTAAGGGGCACCCACTGCACTGTAGCAGCTGCCGGTGCAGCACACACTGGCATGCAGCGGGCTGAGGTGAGACTTCCTGCGACAAAGGCGCATGCTGCGGCGGAAGCCAGCTAGGGAGGGGAAGTGCACAGAACGTAAGAACCAGGCAGGAGAGATCACTTGTAGCTTCACACCTGATGAAATATGTAGCAACCATGATCCTAAAGTGTTCATTAATATAGTCAGGTCTGTCTGAAGTTAGAAGATGGGAAGTAATATGAGGGAAAAATATGAAAATGCCCCCTGTGCTAGCCCATCTAGCACCTGCTCTGGGCCAGGCATTGTCTTGGGTGCTGGCGATAGATGGCTCAACTAATCCAAGGCCACTTTCTCATGAAATCTACATTTTGTAGAAGAAGAGAGACAAACATAAAAAACAACAAAAAATAAGTACTCATAAGAAGATGAGGTAGATAGAGAGTGATGGGGGTGCTTTTTTAGATAGGCAGTAAGGTTGGAGTATCTCTGAAAGGTTGGCGTTGAGCAGACATCTGGAGGAAGGCAGGGAGCCACATCAGGAAGCCTCTGCAGAGACGGGCAAGCCAGGCCAAGGGAACAGCAAGTGCAGTGGTGCAGAGAAACGAACTGTGCTTGGAGCATTTGAGGAACAGCAAGGAAGCCTGTATAGCTGCAGGGCGGTAAGCAACAGGGAGTATGGAAATAGGGTCAGGGAAGTGGCTGGAGCCAGATCACACAGGGCCTCTGAAAGTGTTGGATTGTTGTGGAAGTGTGATGGGAAGCTGTTGGTAGTGACATGATTTGATTCATGTTTCTGAAAGACTCCTCTGGTTGGTGTAAACCGTAGGGAGAGCAAGTGTGGCCTCAGGAGAGAGCAGTTAGGAAGCTACTGCAGTGGTCTGGGTGGGAGATGAGGGTGGCTTGGGCCAGGGTAGAAAGAGTGGAGCAGGCTCATTTTTCACATTTTTCAGGTGGTTTCACTAAGACACAGACAGGTTAGGTGGTTGCTTAGGACTGTGTGATCAGTGCAAAGTTGGACACATGGGTCATGATTTCTAAGCTCCTAGATTCCTGCTTAATCTGCCTTTCGAATCATAGGGCTTTCTGGTATCTTCAGAGCTGTTTCCAGGTGCTCTCAGTAGACAGAGTTAGCAACTCTATGTGTACATATAAATACACATGCACATTTCGATCTATATTTGTATGTCTATATATTGAAAACCATGAGTTCACACCAGTACATACAATGTCAATCCAACACTACAGGATTCATTCTAGACTTCCCCTTTCCATGTTTGTAACTCCCTTCTCTAACAGTGAGAACCCTGGCCCTTGTTTTTTTTTTGTTTTTTTGTTTTTTTTTGCTTATTGTATCAATCAAGAGCACTTAAATGTGCAAGATAGGGGACAGACAGTGTTGATAGCCTCGCACAAAGTGTCAGAGCCCAAGCTAGATGAGGCGGGCATCTTTGTAAAGCCTGTTGGGTATCAGAGGCCAAGTGATGGCAGCTGCCCTCTTGATTTTACTCTGCCTCTGACAATTGGCACCAGGCTACCATTGTCCCCTGCACAGATGCCTTCTTCACCCTGCTCATGCTCCTTACTCTCCACCTTTGTGTAGCTGCCTACTCTGCTCAGCTCTACCTAATAGCTTTTAGGCTGAATGATTCTGAAAGCAATACAGAAAGGTGGCCCCTTGTTTTTTTTTTTTTTGTTTTTTTTTTTTCACGCTCCCCTGATGATTCCAAAATGCATCCAGCTTGGGAACCAACCTTCTAGACCCTGCGGCTCTGCTAGTTTTCCCCTGCCTCCCTATAGAAGGAAGCCCAGAGCGGTTTTACATGAGTGGTACCTGGTCCTTCACAAAGCTCTGCCCAGGTGACAGATGATAGAAATGTGGCCATAAGAAGTAAGTTTAAAAGTCAGAGACTTTGTCTCTTTAGCATAAGATAAATAGGTTACGAAACAGTCTGGAAGAAAACAAAAAGATTTGTGTTTGATGAGTAATTAATAGATAACCCAGTGGAAATTAGATGAATAACAATGAATAATTAATGGATCAGAATATTGACAAGAAAAAAGGACAGAAAGAAAAGGAAACTAGAATGAGGAACAGGTCTGGAAATGTTCATTAGCAAAAGAAACTTTCAAAACAGTGTCAGGTTTGGAAACATAATTTAACAAGTGACAGAGACCCACCTCTTGTTAATTTATCACCTACCTATAAAGAACTTCTGACCGTAGCCAACAAACTCCTCCTTGTCTGAAACACAAAGAACAGATGGAGCAGAATATGTGAGAGCGAGAAGTTTATTCAGAATAAATTCATGAAATCATTTTCAACTTTTCAAGTGACCACCTTAGTAGACGGCAGCAGAGTTGAATTTATCCTTGAGTGGCTCACCGAATGTTCTAAGCATTTTTCATCCTATTATTCACACACAACAAACTATAGGGACGCACTTCACAGAATTTGAGCGTTACACTGAATGTATTCTGTCTAGTATGGTTAAAGCCAAAACGAGTTTATTAATTTTTTAAGATAAGTTTCCTTAGGATATGTTTAAAAATACATACCCAGTTCTTATGTTTTTACTATGATTCAGTATCATATAACTTTAAATAAGCATAAAGTAGCTTTTTGTTCTTCTCCCTCCCTGCCTACCCCCCTGCTGTTGTTGCTCACTCTGGAGTGCAATGGCACGATCTCGGCCACTGCAACCTCCACCTCCTGGGTTCAAGTGATTCTCCTGCCTCAGCCTCCCGAGTTGCTGGGATTCCAGGCACGCACCACCATGCCCGGCTAATTTTTGTATTTTTAGTAGAGATGGAGTTTCACCATGTTGGTCAGGCTGGTCTTGAACTCCTGACCTCAGGTGATCCACCCACCTCAGCCTCCCAAACTGCTGGGATTACAGGGATTACGCCCGGCCTTGTTCTTGACCATACTGTGTTTATAATTTTTTTTTTCTGCAAGTCCTGTAATTAATCTCTTTGCTAGATATGGGTTTTTATTTTCTCCCTCTTAAAAGGGTTCATTCTATATAAGATAAGATTTGCTCTGTGGCTGCCAAATGTTTCTGACTGGCCAGGACTCTGAGAGACAAAATGAGGAAAACTGTGCCCACTGCCTCTGAAGCATCTAGAGATAGTTCAAACTCCTGTTTCTCCTTTCATTGAGATCTCAGGAAAAAACTCCAGAAAAAAAGTTATTAAGAAAATTATTTTCAAATTACTTTTTACTTAAGTTCCTTCTCAAATATACAGCTCTGCTCTGATCATTGAAATAATATATAGCCAGGTGCAGTGGCTCATGCCTGTAATCCTAGCACTTTGGGAGGCCGAGGGTGGCAGATCACTTGAGGTCAGGAGTTCGAGACCAGCCTACCCAACATGGTGAAACCCCGCCTTTACTAAAAATACAAAAAATTAGCCAGGTGTGGTGGCTTGTGCCTGTAGTCCCAGCTACTTGGGAGGCTGAGGCAGGAGAATCACTTGAACTTGGGAGATGGAGGTTGCAGTAAGCTGAGATCATACCACTGCACTCCAGTCTGGGCAACAGAGAGAGACTTCGTCTCAAATATAAACATATATATAAAATATAAAGAGCATTTGTTAATAGAATGAACTGACATATGCAACCTTTTTTCTTAACCTTTTTTTTTTAAGTGTTTTAAAATACATAGAAAGAAAACACACCAATATCAATTCCATCTTCTGGTAAGTAAGTATATTTTCTCACTTAGATATGTCAGTAAGTTTAAAAGGAAATGTTTTCTTGGGGATACATTCATAAAGCTTAATTATTTTTATTGTTCTTTTAAATGTTGTCTATGAAACTGAATATTTAATCATTGATTTCACCCACAAAATGTCATATCCTTGGAGAACCTCACAAACTTAGTTTGGAAGTGTGTTTCCTCGGGAAAAAATGTAAATATGAGGGGAAAACCATAAACAACAACAAATTCCGTATCTTCATCTTAAACATTATCCAGTCAAGTATTCATTTTTGAGGCACTGAAAGATCTTAAACATAGTTCTATTTGGTATATCTAGGAAATAAAAACAATTACCTTCTGAAAGTTCCTCTGGATATTTGGGTAAGTGCAGAAACAGACATGAAAAAGTTAAGCCTTTAAGAAGATCATGTTAGCCATCAAATCAAGGCAAATGACATAAGCAAGACGTGCACGTCACCACTAGCAAAAGGTAACTCGGGTAAGGCCTGGCAAGGCAAATGATCACCACATGATTGGGACTGAGAAACTGGTTTGCCCTGACTCTGCTGCTTGGGACAGTAACTTTTTCTGAAAGTTGCCTATCAAGACTCTCCCTGAAGGCTTTTTAACTCAGGAAGACTCTACTTGGTTGGCACAAAATAGGGCTTCAAAGGGAGAAGTTAAAGGAAAGCAACAGGTTTGAGCCTTCTCCCTCCTCTCTCCCCGAGGCAGTATTGCAGCAGCTCTGTGAAGGGGAGGAAGTGGTAGAAATGGTGCTGCTGCTGGGTGCTGCAGCAGCCTCTGGCCCAAGCGAGGGTCCTCATTCCTTCCCCTTCCTGGGTCTCACACACTTCCATCCCCAGCTGCCCCATGAAGACAGAGGAAACCAAATACAAAGCAAACTGTTTTCTTTGTTTTCTAGATATCACAAAATAGCCATATTCTGTTTTTTGGTTTGTTTTGAGATGCAGTCCCCTCTGTCACCCAGGCTGGAGTGCAATGGTGCTATCTTGGCTCACTGCAATCTCTGTCTCCCAAGTTCAAGCAATTCTCTTGCCTCAACCTCCTGAGTAGCTGGGATTATAGGCATGAGCCACCACGCCTGGCTAATTTTTGTATTTTTAGTAGAGACGGGGTTTCATCATGTTGGCCAGGCTGGTCTCGAACTCCTGACCTCAAGTGATCTGCCTGCCTCGGCCTCCCAAAGTGCTGGGATTAGAGGCGTGAGCCACCATATCCAGCCTTTTTTTTTTTTTTAATGACGCTTCTGATTAAATAAACCATACAATCACCTCGTCACCTCCTGGGGAAATTCAAGGAAGTCATACTATACTTTATTCAGACTACAGACCGAAACTGAAGAACCTTAACTGCTCACTAAGCAGTCTAAGTAACAGAATTAAGCATCATGGAATGAATGCCAAGGGTTCTATGCTTAGAAAATATGCCAGCTGGGTGCTAACTGTTCCTTAATTGAGCTCCTCAGAGAGCTGGGTTCAGAACGTATCGATGCTTGAGAGTTCTCACTTTTCCAGCTGAGAGGAGTCCACAAGGGGCGTTTTACAGTAGGCACCTCCCTCTGCAGTGCTGTTCTCAAAAGAACTGGCTGCTGACTCCCCCAAGGAACAAGATTTCACAATAATAATGCCCGCTAACACTTGTGTAGCACTTCCTGTGTACCAGGCACTGTTCTAAGCACTTTATTCATATAAATTATTGTTGCCATTTTAGAGGTGAGGAACCTGAAGGGCAGAGAGGTTAAGAGCCAGAGAACCCGCAGTTAGTGAGTAATGAACCCAGGGTTCAAACTGGCCAATCTGGCTGGAGTCGGTGGTCTCACCCACTGCTTCTCCTTCCACAGACCCGCAAACACTCCCCGGCCTCAACCTCAGCCTTCACATGTGGAGTGTTTTCCAGTGGGACAGAACAAAGAAGGATGAGAATAAGCTAGGGGAATTAAAAACTAAGCCAAATGGGCAAGTATAAATAATCAATTAAATTATTTCTAACAGGCCAACCATCTAACGGAAAATAGGAAATTTTGAAACAACATAAATGTAAATAATTTAGAAAAGTGGTTCACAACTCATCTGTCTCAATGCTTTCTTTTTTTATAACTAATATTTGTAGCCATCTCTCTACTTTTATGAAAGGAAATTAATAGATGGCATAATCTACCACACATGTAATTTTAAAAATCAATACAATGCTCCAGCTGTAACATTAAAAAACATTTTAAAAGAAGTAATTTATATTTTAAAATATATATATATTTTAAAAGTATATATATACAAGGCAGACGGATCACTTGAGATCAGGAGTTCGAGACTAGCCTGAGCAACATGGAAACCCGTCTCTACTAAAAATACAAAAATTAGCTGGGTGTTGTGGTGCACACCTGTAATCCCAGCTACTCAGGAGGCTGAGGCACAAGAATCACTTGAGCCTGGGGGATGGAGATTGCAGTGAGCCCAGATCACACCACTGCACTCCAGCCTGGGTGACAGAGTGAGACTCTGTCTCAAAAAAAAAAAAAAAAAAAAGTATATATATCAAAATATAAATCCTTGGGCATAACATATTTGGAAGACCTAAGAAACTACTAGATGCTTATATTAATATTTACTTATAACGAAGCATGGATTCAAGAGAAGTAAGAAAATCAGAAAATATTCCTTATATGAAGTACAGAAAAATAGAAAAGAAACAGGTGGACACTAGAATAAAAAGTGTTTTGGTAAGTAATAAAAGGCTAGATTTATTTGTATGTGATAAGAGAAAGAAGAAAATTGCCTTAATTGGGGTAAAGATAATATGCCAAAGCAATTAGAGACCAATGAAATGGGAGAAAATGAGGAAAAATAATATACTTGGAATTGGATAAGTCATGTTAACATGCCCCAGCAGGTTTGCAGTTTAAAAATAAAATTCTGTGGGGCCTATTTTGTTTTTAATGATGTCAACATTATTTTGAGGGACAGACACTTGATACCATATGTCATCAATAATAACAAATAATATATTAAAGAAAAAGAAAATTAATTCAGTATAGATATACTTTCCAGTTTATTTACTAGCAATATCGAATAAACAGGATACGTGGAATAAATCATTCAATAATTGCAAGGCAATGCCTGCATTCTGTTTGAATGTCTCTCTCTGTAATGACTGTCTTCTAAACCACTGTGCTTCTCATGCTAAATCTTATGAAAACTTTTTGTGTGTTGAAAAATGACGCTTTTATATTTGTAACGAGTTTTGTCCAGCAGGACATTCAGAAGATACGTGGGTCAAGAGACACCAGTTAAAGGCCAGGAGTATCCGCAATCAATGTGACAATAAAAAAATGCTCCCAAAAAGTTCCAAAATGCTACATCAGGGACAGTACTAGCCCTGTGAGAAGTACTGGCTAAGGTAAAATCTACATCTCACAACTGCACTGTTGCTGTATTTTTTAAAATACATTTTACTGGGACCAGGTGTGGTGGCTCACTTTGGGAGGTCAAGGTGGGAGAACCACTCGAGGCCTGGAGTTGGAGACAAGCCTGAGCAACACAGTGAGACCCTGTATCTACAAAAAATTGAAAAATTAGCCACGCATGGTGGCATGGGACTGTAGTCCCAGCTACTTGGGAGGCTAAAGTGGGAGGATCACCTGAGCCAAGGAAGTCAAGGCTGCAGTGAGCTATGATCATACCACTTGCACCTCACCTTGGGCAACAGACTGAGACCTTGTCTCAAAATAAATAAATAAATTAGCCAGGTGTAATGGCATATGCCTGTAGTTCCAGCTGTTTGGAAGGCTGAGGTGGGAGGATCACTTGAGCTCAGGAATTCGAGGCTGCAATGAGCCATGATCACACCACTGCACTCCAGCCTGAGTGACAGAGAGACCTTGTCTCAAAAAAATTAAAAATTAAAATTAAAAATAAATTTTATAATGTATATTTGAGGTTGACAACATGATGTGGGATACACGCAGTTACTTTTTAATTTTTTAATGTTGATATATTTAAACAGTTATTATAAATATGTGTATAAATTGCATCAAAATTTAGAATATACATTTAAAAATCAGTACCAAATACTCATTTTTTACTTACCAGATTCAAATGTTTCTTCATCTATGATTTTTCATGGAGGCAAAAATCAAAAATGTTATTACATGACCATCTACACTGAGTCTATATTTTAAGTCTAATTCTCTGGCCCCTACTTCTGCCCATACACCACCTTTGTAAAGTTTTTTTCCTAAATCAAGGTCGAATCGATGGTGTCTCTATGGCATATATCAGCTTTACATGAAACACATGGTATTCGGCAGTTGAGCCATGATGACAGTCAGGGGTGCAGCAGGAGCTCAAAATAAATAAAATAATAGAAGGTGAATAAAATAAAATGTAAAAAGCAGCTCAGAGGGAAGGGGAAAGTGGAATGTCAGGGAAATCCCTAGAGACTGTTGGATACTGCTCGGCTTTGCTGCAGAGGGCTTGCCGATGTAGGAGGGGTGCACCCTGCCTGAAGAGTTGCGGACCCACAAACGGGGGTGATGACGAGGAGAGTGAGCATATGAATGACTTGATTACGTAGGCTTGATCAGGTGGCTGAGAAGGATGTGAGATAAACCAACTTCCGCATTAGTTAAAACAACTCTTGTTAGCATTTTAAAGAGAGATTAAGGATTAAGAAACATACATGGAGGGTAATTTGAAATACATGGCAACATTACCAATGCATGCGTCCTTGGATCAGGCAATGCTGCATCTAAGGTATTCTCATGCATGTAAAATGATATAGTTATAAGGCAATTCATTGTAGCACTGTTTATAATAGAAACAAATGGACATAACACAATGCCTACAAATAAATGATTGTATAAGTATACAATAACCAATAAGCTGTTAAAAAAATAAAACAAGGCTCTTTATGTGCTAAGATAGAGTCACCTCCAAGATACAGAATGTTAAGTTGGAAAAGCCAGGAACAGAACAGTGTGCATATCTTGCTATCAAAGAGTATGTGCATTTGGATTTGGAAAAAAAGATGGGGGTGATGAAGGGGGAAGGAGAAATACATACATCATTGCTTTTTTTTTTTTTTTTTTTTGAGACGGAGTCTCGCTCTGTCGCCCAGGCTGGAGTGCAGTGGCGCAATCTCGGCTCACTGCAAGCTCTGCCTCCCGGGTTCACGCCATTCTCCTGCCTCAGCCTCCTGAGTAGCTGGGATTACAGGCGCCCGCCACCACGCCTGGCTAATTTTTTTTTCTATTTTTTTAGTAGAGGCAGGGTTTCACTGTGTTAGGCAGGATGGTCTGCATCTGCTGACCTCGTGATCCGCCCACCTCGGCCTCCCAAAGTGCTGGGATTACAGGCATGAGCCACCACGCCCGGCCACATCATTGCTTTTATGTGCACAGAATATGTCTGGGGTGATACTGAAGAAACTATTAAAATTTATTGCCCCAAGAAAGAAAAATGAGTAGGAGAACATGGAAAGAGAGGAACTTCTTACTGAATATACCTTTGTAGTTATTAAATTTTGAACTATGTGAATTGTTACCTAATAAAAATATAATGGAAATTGTAGAAAAGAAATGAATATTACTGCAAGTTTAAAAAAATGTATACTTGGTAAAATAAACATAATGTCAGCAGTATTCTGCTGTTGCTCTGGAAAATATATGTGAATCATTGAAATGCCCACTGTTTTAAAATTTTACATTGTTCTCTCACTTCTAAAAACTAGACTAGCCTGTAAAGCAAAGACAGATTCACCTGTCAGACTAAGGTTCTCCAACTGGTCTCCTAACAAAATCCTAGTGATTCTTAAGCCAATCTTAGTTCTGCCACTAAATTTGAAAAATCTTTTCCCAATTTACAAAAAAATTAAAGAGTAGAAATGTAAAAAACTTTCATGCATGTCTCATCATTTTGGAACCTACTACTATTTATCTATACTAGAATCCACCAGAAGATGGCATCAAACTTAATAATAAAATATATATATTGCTCTTTAAAAATTTGATACTGCAATATTTTATGGTATTTCACAAAGAGCAGAGGTTTCCAAGTGTTCTACCATCGGATATGCTGAGAGTTACTAAGTGTTCTTGAGATCATTTACAAAGCACTGCTTTCTAGAACATTTTCTAGTAGATCAGTGGGAACCTGGAGACATTACCACAGCTTCTCCTTCCAAGTGCCAGAACTACAGAAGATAGATGGGGGTGGAGGGTCATTTTACACATTTCTAGAGGAAAGGCCCATGGCCCCTTTGGACACCTCTGCTTCAGATAATCTATAATTGACATGCTTCATATTTCTTCTAACAGCAAAGCAATCAAGAGAAAATGTTACCTGCTTCCACACATTTCTCATCAATCTTCATGTCATCTTCTATAAAAGAGTATAGAAAGGGAGAAACAGAATTTAAAATGTGTCTGCATTAAAAAGAAAATTCCCGGCCAGGCATGGTGGCTCATGCCTGTGATCCCAGCACTCTGGGAGGCCGAGGCGGGCGGATCACCTGAGATCAAGAGTTCGAGACCAACTTGACCGACATGGTGAAACCATGTCTCTACCAAAAAAAACAAAAATTAGTCGGGTGTGGTAGCACATGCCTATATAATCCCAGCTACGTGGGAGGCTGAGGCAGGAGAATCGTTTGAACCCGGGAGGCAGAGGTTGCAGTGAGTCGAGATAGTGCCATTGCACTCCAGCCTGGGCAACAAGAGCGAAACTCCATCTAAAAATAAAAATAAAAATAAATAAAAATAAATAAAAATAAAAAAAATTCCCTATGTATGTCAATAAAACTCACAAAATACAAATAAAATTAGGTATGTCAATAAAACTCAGTCCACCTTATGATAAATTTACAACTATTGCTTACTTGGAGAGATAAAAAGGGCTCTCCTATATTAAATGAAAATGTATGATGTGGGAGGCTATATAACATAAAATGGTTAAAAATTAAAAACCATAGGCTTTTGAATGCTGCACAAATTAGTTGACCTCTAAGCCTCTGTTCTCCATGTGAAAATGGGGAGAGTAACAGTACCTACCATATAGGCTAGGATTGAGAAAATGCACGAAAAGCTCAGGCATATGGTAAGTACTCAATAAATGTGAATTATCTTTACCTTTAGCTGAAGTATATATAAGAGAATAAAGGAACATAACTTTAAAAACTACTTATCCTAATTCTCAAAACTCTCTACAGCATGATCTAAACCCAGCTTGGAAGGTTGTCATCTGCTTCTCTCCTTCACGCATCTTACGCTACCATTAGAGTGGACATCACAGCCTTTGCTTACACTGTTCCCTGTGCCTGTCATGCTTCTAGGTCCATCCCAAACACTGATCAGAATGAATACCCCCTTGCAGAGCATTTTCTTCCTACTACCTTGAACTGTCTGCTACTGCACATCTATTCTACATCTATAACCATTCGGGGGTTTGCCTTCTTTGTTCTCCTAGACAGCTTCTTGAAGACAGGGACTGCCTCACTAGTTTTTACAGACTCTTAGTACAGTATTTTGCACATAGTGGGCAAATGATAAATTATTTCTTAAATTGAGTTTTCTTTTAAATATCAAAATTGTTGATTTGAATAAAGGTTCTGAATTTTTTCTTTCAGCACTTTACATCTTGTTTCTAGCAGTGCCCAGCACATCCCAGGTGCTCAACAAATACGGATTTAATAAATGAAGCTTATACATGTTCCAAAAGTACATAGTCTGTAAAAGTGTAGTCCAAAGTATAGTCTGTAGAATAAGCTACACTATAAGGTAACCTTTATAACACTATAAGGTGTTATCGCCACCCCTTAAAAACCACATCACTCATTAATGTTTTTAAGTGAAATATGAAAAATTTTATGAAATAACACTGTCTCATACAGGTAGGGACACAGATAAACGAGTGGCATGGTTGAGATTTTCTGCACTGTCATTTGTTTACTTATATTCATTTAGAGATTATTTTCCTAATTAATTAGATTAATTTAATTTCCTAGTTAAATAATTAGATTGTTATTAGCCATCCATAACAACAGTGAGTTCATTAGTTCCCAGTACATAACAAAGTTGTTTTTCTTTAGGGCAAACAAAGACTACAATTTTCATTTTTATTTTACAGAGGAAGGTACAAAAAACCAGGCATGATTATCTAGTAACAGCATGAGAAGCTCTGACTTTTCTGACGCTTGACTCTGGGATCTAAGATAGGGCCACTGATTTTGTTCTCCCCAAATCAATGATTCCACATTATCAGCTAGGATAATGTACTGAATTGTGTTCCCCCCAGTATTCATATGTTGAAGCCCTTGCCCTCAGTATGGCTGTATTTAGAGAGAGGGCCTTTAAGGAGGTAATTAAGGTTAAATGAGGTCATACTGCTGGGGCCTTAATTTGATAGAACTGGTGGCCTTATAAGAAGAAAAAACACATCAGATCAATCGATCTCTCTCTCTTTCTCTTCTCTTCTCTTCTCTTCTCTTCCTCTCTCTCTCTCTCTCTTCTTTCTCTCTCCCTCTCCCTCTCCCTCTAAGGATGCACAGAGGCAACACCACATAAGCACACAGCAAAGAAGGTGGCTGTCTGCAAGCCAGGAAGAGGCCTTACCAGAAACCAACCCTGCTGGAACCTTAATCTTAGACTTCCAGCCTCCAGAACTGTGAGAAAATAAATATCTGTTGTTTAAGCCACTTAGTCTGTGGTATCTTGTTACGGAAGCTCAAGCTAAGACCATGGCCTTATCACCCACCACTACCGTACAGTTCCCAGCTCCTCCCTCCCACCAAGGGCTATGCCCAGGTTGCCCTTCACAACTCTTAACAGTGCAGCCTGTAACATGACCCTGAGTAGACAAACCAGAAGCAGGCACCCTGGACTTGCCCCTCTCTCCCTCACCTTCTTCTCTTGCCCTCCTGTGTCATACACCTTTTTTGTTTTGGGGGGACACAGATTGGAGCCTTGTTCCCATAGATCAGCCTTCAAAAGTCATCTTGCAGTTCTCTGTTTTCCCTTTCCAAATTCAAGGATGAACTGTGGTTGGTGGCTAAGGGGACACCTCTTTTTTCCTCTTTCTGGAAGCAGAAAGCATCTTGCTTTGTGTGTGTGTGTGTGTGTGTGTGTGTGTGTGTGAGAGAGAGAGAGAGAGAGCACCATCATAATGAGTCATCCAGATGGTTGGGCATGGAGAAGGGGAAAGGATAGTAACTGAAGGTCCCATTTGTTCCCTAATGCAGGGCCTTTTAGACAGAGGGAATCTTGAATCCAGATTACACTGTTTTCAACTGCTGACAACTGTTCTTACCTTCTCTCAGTGTCAATCTTTTCATCCATAACATGGGAATAATAATAATAATTTTCACTATAGTTTTATTGTTAGGTAATATGTATAAAGCAGTTGAAACAAAACATCTCATCAGTTTCACAGCTTTTATTGAGTTCTTGCCATACGCTATGTTAAACTCTGGAGCTGCATATAAATGTTGCTTCTCTTTTCTTTATTCCTCTCAGTGTTAGGACAATTATACTTTGCATGCATATCTTTGAATGACATATTTTTATAAATCAATGACTATCACACTACTAGGTATATAGGAAGAGCTTAATAATGACTATCACACTACTAGGTATATAGGAAGAGCTTAATAAATAGCTGAACTGAATTAAAGTGAATTCTTTAAACTACAAGAAATTTCTAAAAGACTTTGGAGATAAGAGTTTTTTCCTAAATACTATTTCTTACCTTCTTCCATAGAAATTGCTGAGTACAAGCAAATGATTGAAGCAGGGGGGATAAAAAGAACACAGTATCTGTACTATATTTTCTCAGATTAATTTACAATAAGAAATGTAATGTGCAAAAATTATTGTAATTAGTATTCTGGGTTTATTCTCTAGAAATTCAGGGAAGATTTAGTAAGAAAATGATAAATGAATACTTTATAAAACTGATACATTTGTGAGCCTTGTTGGAAATGGAAATCTACTTGCTTCTGGTAAATCCCGCCTTCTTCCATCCCAGCTAGTTCTACAAGGGTAGCATTCTATGAATTTCTGAATTAACATGCTTACTTCAGCATATTTTAGGAACCCAAATTTTCAATGAAAGGAAGGGAAGAAGACAGAGAGATGGAGAGAGGGAGGGAGGAAGGGAAAGAAAGAGGGAAGACAACTATAAGTGCACCTTCAGTAAATAACATTTTAATAATCATCTGCAAACTAACATCAATAACATTTCATTAATAAAATTGCCCTATATCTTTGGACTCAGTAGCCTGCCCCTAATTTTTTTGGGGGGAGGAGGGTATGATAAGACTTAAGCAGAGCAGAAACATACAAAATAATATTAATTGAAGGATCATCTATAATAGTTGAAAATAAATGATCTTTCTAGTAGTTTAAAAAATAATCATGTCTACCGGAAACATTCCCTAAGAGAGGGGACCCTTTAAGTCAGTGGCTCCAAACCTGAGGCTCGTGGACTTAGATATTTGTGAGGATAATAATAGAATATTGAAAACTATTTTCAGCATGGACTTCTAGAAAGTCTAATATAAATCACACAGGCCACATAAGCAAATTAAATGAAAACCAGAAGTTATACTACAGGTAATTATCAGATGCTGATTAGAAACTGTAATTAGCATTTTCATGTGCCTTTGATAAATGAAAGTTTGTTTTAAAAAAAAAATTTTCAAAACGTGGAAGAAGTAACTAAAATATCACTACAAAGATTGTGTCATGAAAAATGTTTCTGATAAGATGTTAAGTGGCTGGCAAGATGGCTGAATAGGAATAGCTCTGGTCTGCAGCTCCCAGCAAGATCAATGCAGAAGGCAGGTGATTTCTGCATTTCCAACTAAGGTACCCAGCTCATCTCACTGGGACTGGCTAGATAGTGGGTGCAGCCCACAAAGGGTAAACCAAAGCAGGGTGGGGTGTTGCCTCACCTGGGAAGTGAAAGGGGTCGGGGAACTCCCTCCCCTAGCCAAGGAAAGCTGTGAGGGACTTTGCAGTGAGGAAGGGTGCACTCCAGCCCAGATATTACCCTTTTCCCATGTTCTTCGCAACCCACAGACCAGGAGATTCCCTTGGGTGCCTACACCACCAGGGCCGTGGGTTTCAAGCACAAAACTGGGCGGCCGTTTGGGCAGACACTGAGCTAGCTGGAGGAGTTTGTTTGTTTTTTTTCATACCCCAGTGGCGCCTGGAATACCAGCAAGACAGAACCGTTTGCTCCCCTGGAAAAGGGGCTGAAGCCAGGGAGCCAAGTGGTTTTGCTCAGCAGATCCCACCCCCACGGAGCCTAGCAAGCTAAGATCCACTGGCTTGAAATTCTCGCTGCCAGCACAGCAGTCTGAAGTTGACCTGGGACACTCCAGCTTTGACAGGATAAAATTCACACATAACAATATTAACCTTAAATGTAAATGGGCTAAATACCCCAATTAAAAGACACAGACTGCAAATTGGATAAAGAGTCAGGACCCATCGGTGTGCTGTATTCAGGAGACCCATCTCACATGCAAAGACACACATAGCCTCAAAATAAAGGGATGGAGGAATATTTACCAAGCAAATGGAAAGCAAAAAAAAGCAGGGGTTCCAATCCTAGTCTCTAATAAAACAGACTTTAAACTAACAAAGATCAAAAAAGACAAAGAAGGGCATTGCAAAGTGGTAAAGGGATCAACACAACAAGAAGAGCTAACTATTCTAAATATATATGCACCGAATAGAGAAGCACCCAGATTCATAAAGCAAGTTCTTAGAGACCTACAAAGAGACTTAGACTCCCACACAATAATAGGGGAAGCCTTTAACAACCCACTGTCAATATTAGACAGATCAACGAGACAGAAAATTAACAAGGATATTCAGGACTTGAACTCAGCTCTGGACCAAGTGGACCTAATAGACATCTACAGAACTCTATACCCCAAATCAACAGAATATACATTCTTCTCAGCACCACATCACACTTATTCTAAAATTGACCACCAACCGGAAGTAAAACATTCCTCAGCAAATGCAAAAGAACGGAAATCATAACAGTCTCTCAGACCACAGTGCAATCAAATTAGAACTCAGGATTAAGAAACTCACTCAAAACCGTACAACTACATGGAAACAGAACAACCTGCTCCAGAATGACTACTGGGTAAATAATGAAATTAAGGCAGAAATAAATAAGTTATTTGAAAGCAATGAGAACAAAGACACAATGTACCAGAATCTCTGGAAAACAGCTAAAGCAGTGTTTAGAAGGAAATTTAGAGCACTAAATGCCCACAGGAGAAAGCAAGAAAGATCCAAAATCGAAACCCTAACATCACAATTAAAAGAACTAGAGAAGCAAGAGCAAACAAATTCAAAAATCTAGCAGAAGACAAGAAATAACTAAGATCAGAGCAGAACTGAAGGAGACAGAGACACAAAAAAACCTTCAAAAAAATCAATGAATTCAGGAGCTGGATTTTTGAAAAGATTAAGAAAATAGATAGACCACTAGCCAGATTAATAAAGAAGAAAAGAGAGAAGAATCAAATAGACACAATAAAAAATGATAAAGGGGACAACATCACCACTGATCCCACAGAAATACAAACTACCATCAAGGAATACTATAAACACCTCTATGCAAATAAACTAGAAAATCTAGAGAAATGGATAAATTCCTGGACACATGCACCCTCCCATGACTAAACCAGGAAGTAGTTGAATCCCTGAATAGACCAATAACAAGTTCTGAAATTGAGGCAGTAATTAATAGCCTACCAACCAAAAAAAAGCCCAGGACCAAATGGAGCTGGTACCATTCCTTCTGAAACTATTCCAAACAATGGAAAAAGAGGGACTCCTCCCTCACTCATTTTATGAGGCCAGCATCATCCTGATACCATCAACCTGGCAGAGACACACACACAAAAAAAATTTCAGGCCAATATCCGTGATGAACATCGATGGGAAAATCCTCAATAAAATACTGGCAAACCAAATCCAGCAGCACAGCAAAAAGCTTATCCACCACAATCAAGTTGGCTTCATCCCTGGGATGCAAGGCTGGTTCAACATATGCAAATCAATAAATGTAATCCATCACATAAACAGAACCAATGACAAAAACCACATGATTACCTCAATACATGCAGAAAAGGCCTTTGATAAAATTCAACACCCCCTCATGCTAAAAACTCTCAATAAACTAGGTACTGATGGAACGTATCTCAAAATAATAAGAGCTATTTATGACAAACGCACAGCCAGAATCATACTGAATGGGAATGGATGAAGCTGGAAACCATCATTCCCAGCAAACTAAGACAGGAACAGAAAACCAAACACCGCATTTTCTCACTCATAAATGGGAGTTGAACTATGAGAACACGTCGACACAGGGAGGGGAACATCACACACTGGGGGCCTGTTGGCCGGTGGGGGCTAAGGGGAGGGATAGCATTAGGACAAATACCTAATGTAGATAATGGGTTAATAGGTGCAGCAAACCACCATGGCACATGTATACCTATGTAACAAACCTGCACGTTCTGCACATGTATCCCAGAACTTACAGTATAATTAAAAAAGAAAAAAAAAGATGTTAAGTTTAAAAAAATAAAAAGTGGTATTGCAGCTATTACTATAACCATCTAAAATATGTGTTCACCACTGGAAGTTAATATGAAAATATTGTCATTGAGAAGGCATGTTTTCTTTTGTCAAAAACTGCCTTTATAGTTGTCCTCACATCTTTTCAATAAGAAAATAAAAGGAAAAGTAATTTTTGGCTTGGAGAAGGGAGACATAATAAAGTGGGTGAGGCTTGCCCCGGGCAGATCTGTGATGTTGATACTTTTTGTGTCCTTCCAGTCTCCTCTCTTTGCCTCCCCTCCGTCCTTCTGGTGCCCAGTTCCCTCCCTTACCCCCTTTCCAGGGCCCACCTGAGGGCCATTTCAGAAGGGCCTCGCTCAGTAGGCTCAGCTGGCCTCTGCCAAGCCACAGCACCTTTAATCAAGCATTTGCCACCATGGAGCCTTTACTCACCACTCCCCAGCTGCTTGAATAATATTGTCTAGCAATCAAACTGCATTCATTAAGTAACAATTCCATCCCATATTTATTCACCAAAGGCATACACAATTGTTAATCAGTGCTTCTGAACAGTGTGAAGGTTAAGTCCTCTAAGTTGATAGAACCCAAATGAAGGTATATGTGTAGTTATGCAGCCTTGCTTGCCAGTCAGGTATAATGCACATATGAGCTGCAGAGATCTTGGAAGGCCTCAACTTGGGGAGGGATGTCTTCAGGTGTCACCAAGATAAGAACATATGCATTTTCATAAACTGAAAACCCTTCTAAATCCAAAGAAGGAATGTCAACGGTAGGACTTCAGATGGCTGGCTGCCAGGGAGATTATTTGGGGGCAGTGGGGACATTTAGAGATCTCCTAGGCAGGAAGCCAGCCCTGGAGGGAGGAAGCAGGCTCTCCCAGGATGCACATGCTGGGTCTGAGGTAGACACATACTGAAATTGCCTTTGTAAAAATTACATCAGTGAGAAAATTATGGTAGTGGGGGAGATCTGATCTAGCCCAAGCTCCTCTTGCTTTTAGCTTTCAAGCTGCCTTCATTCCAGGGTTCGCTTTGAGAGACATTTTATTTATAGTTTAAATGATAACAGTCCTTCCCCTAAAACTCAGCCGCCTTTATAAAGCTAATGAGAGACCATCAAGTTAGTGGAAGGAGAGGAGCCTGAATTCTGCTAAGGTGTAGACTGTCATAAGATATGCAATTTCCCCAATAATTCCTGCAAATAACATTACTATTGTAGAACCTAAGATTGGCCTTTTGTGACATCTTTTTAGGTTTTTTGCATGTCTGACACCTGTGGCTCCATCTGGACCCACCAACCAATGGCTCCTGTGGCTCCACCCAGAAGCAACTCAGTACAAGAGGACAGCTTCAACTCCCTATGATTTCGTCTCTGATCCAACCAATCAGTAGCAAGTGCCCACTGAATAGCCACCACCCCCACGCCCTCCCCAAACTACCTTTGAAAAACCCCTAATCTAGGGCCCTTCAAGGAGATTGATTTAAATAACAACTCCATCTCCCATGTGGCATGGCCAGCCTCACATCAATTAGACTCTTTATTTACTGCAATGCCATGGTCTTTATTGCAAACAGGAAGAACCTGTCGGGCAGTTGCAATACTCACATAGGGTTGACTTGAGGCAGGTGTGAGGCTGGTACGGCTGAGACCACCAGAATTCCCGTTGCTTCCTATGGGGGGGAAAAAACCATGCGACAAAAAACAAACAAAAACCACTCTTTGTTAACCTAGATGAAACAGACCCAGAGCAACGACAAACAGAATGTTTCTTAGAATTCTGCTGCCTTCACTCAAGTGAAAAGGGTGATTGCTTCTCCAAATACATTGTCAAATAAATTTTCCAAACATATAGGCTCTCTCATGTCTTCTTCTGCCTCACGGGATCTTTTCAGAACAACAAAGACTTACAGTGACAATCTCGCACATGATCACAAGTTTGCACATGGAGTTTCAGTAAATGACCCGTGGTAAGCTGCCTCTCAGGCATGTTAGCCTGTCTTTGCAGTCTCCTTCGAATTCTCATGACATGTTCAGGTTTCCCTCTCAGGCTATTAGAGGCTCTCTACAGTTTCTATAGATGACTCTGCTCCTTTCTTGATCTCTAGCATCACCCCTGGGCTCCAGGGCAAGGCTTCACCTTTTCTTGGCACCTGAAACCTCTGTTGACTTGTTCCTCTTCCCTTGAGTCCCCCAGCAATTTCTTTGGGCAGGTTTTCCTTGCCTTGCCTACTTCAAAGCAACTTTCTAAGCAAAGTTGCTCTTCCTTCTTTATTCAACACTGTGAAGTTTGGAGCAAGAGAAGATTTCGAAGACACTCTGTTCTTTGTATTCCCAGAACTGCAGCATCACCTTTACCTGGGAGCTTGTGAGGACTGCAGAATCTCAGTCTCCACCCCAAGCCTTCCAAATTAGAATCTCCATTTTAATAAGAGCCCAGGTAAGTCATATGTATGTTAAAGGCAACAAGCTCTAATTTAATCTCTCAAACTTTGGAATACATCTGAGGTGTTTGTTAAAATGCAAATAATCTGGGCCTCCCAGAGCTCCTGCCTCCAATTCCCTGGAGATAAGGCCAGGGCATCTACATGTTTAAATCAAACTCTCCATGTGATTCTAATTCACAAGAGAGTTGAAGAAGGGCCAATTTAGTCCACCTTCCTCACTTTAGAAATGAGGAAACTGATCCAGGGAAGTCAAGCAATGTGGTGGAGGTTGAACAGTTAGCAGCAGGAGGCATCTATGCTATAATCTACAAAGTGATGGACTGGGATTCAACAGACCTGGGTTCCAGGCATGCTTCCCCTCCTTAGGATCTTGGACAAATCTCCTAATGTCTGAAACTTAGTTCCCCACTTTTGAAATGGGGCTCAGCGCATTTGGCATCGTGAGGACTAAATAATACATGAGACCTTACTGTAAACTCAATTAGCATGGACATGCAGGGCATTCAGATTCATTAATTATTTGAAGAGATAACATATACACAGAGTAAAAATCTTAACAGTATAAAAAAGTAGGCTGGGTGTGGTGGCTCACGCCTGTAATCCCAGCACTTTGGGAGGCCGAGGCAGGCAGATCACCTGAGGTCAGGAGTTCGAGACCAGCTTGGCCAACACAGTGAAACCCCATCTCTACTAAAAATACAAAAATTAGTTGGACGTGGTGGTGCGCACCTGGAGTCCCAGCTACTCTGGAGGCTGAGGCAGGGAAATGGCTTGAACCCAAGAGGCCAGGGCTGCAGTGAGCTGAGATCATGCCACTGCACTCCAGCCTGGTGACAGAGCAAGACTCCATCTCAAAAAATAAAAACATTTAAAAAGTAAGGCTTCTTCCCTTCCTTCTGCTCAGTTTCTTGTGCATTCTTCCAGAAATATTCTCTGCATAATTAAGGTACTTTAATTCACAGCACATGCAGGCCAGAGCCAAGATTCTTGATTCCTAGTTAGGTGATGAGCTCTGTAAATATCTGTGTTTCCTGTTTTTTAACCTTCTGTACCTTTCCTTGGTTACTCCATGGTTAATTACCTGGTAGTCTGATCTCTCTCTATCTCTGTCTCTGTGTCTCTCATTCTCTATCAGCTTCCTCTCTAGGCTTCACCCTGGCCTTTCTCCTCTGGGAGCTCCTGGTTTTTCATTCTTACAAAATGCTATCCTGTACATCTTCACATGTTCCCTCTGGGGGAAACTCCAGCGAATGGGGCCTCTCACTGGAAAGTCACGTCTACTTGCCAAAAATATTTGCTACTCTGGCACAAACCATCAACATCTAACTCCCCCAATTTGCAATAGAGTCATTCCAAACTCCTTTAGATGGGTATTATTTTCCACCAATATGCCCTTTTTGGAGAAGCCTTCCTCCTCACTCTTTCACAGTTTTCTAAAATCAGATATAATTTTCTACCTGTTGAAAGTAAAAACAAACAAGCAAAACCAAAACAAAACCCCCCCAGCTACTTGCATTCAAATCTGTCACTCTTATAAAGAGTTTAAAAAATATTTTATGCGCTCATTCACTATTCCTAAGCACAATGCTGCTCTTCATACCACTTACCCTGAGCACCTGAGGCGCTTGGTGAAGATGCAGATTCCTGGCTCAGTCCATATCTATTGAATCAGATCCTCAGAGAGGGGAGGGCAGAGCCGGGGAATCCGTATTTTACAAAATACCCAGCTCATTTTTACTCATAGCAAAGTTGGAGAGGTAGGAAGAGAGAAAAATTGTTTGTAGATATCAAAGACCTCATTTATTGAGGCTCAGAGATACTGACTTCTCAAAAGCCACATCAGCCCGCGCTCGGGGCAGGCCTCTTGCCCAGATATGGCAGCGGATTTAGTCTCAACACCCTCCTCCAGTCCTCCAATGTGCCTCCTGGTTTTCTGAATGAGATTCAGGAGAGTCCGAGGTGCCTTCCATTATTCTGTCCCCAACAAGACATTTGTGTAGACTCTGCTATTGACATATTGCTTCTAAATGAAATTGCTTAATTTCTTATTTTCATATTAGGTTTTCACGTGGCAATGACTAAAAGCAGCATGAGAACTTCCTATCATTCTTTGTTTGTGTGCCCCCCCAAGAAACCCATAATTGGGTTTTGTGTGCTCCTTGCAAGGCCCCTGCCAGACCCTCCTCACCACTTTCTGACCTGAAACCATGAGGACTAATCTCATTAGGCCTTTATCCCTGTTCATGTCCTTCAGCCCCCAAGCTCAGGTCACCCCTTATCCCCTGTGCTTTAATCCCTATAAGACCCCTTCCACCCACCCACGCCCTCTGGAACCCACAGCAAATCTTCAGCAAACTCTCTTAGACCTCAGCCTCTTCTTTGAGCCCTTTCTTCTTGCTTTAACTGCAGCCCAACTCTCCCTGTGGTCTGCTTCTCCTGCAGCCTTCAAGAGGGGGATGTTTCCTCTCCCACGCCCAGTGGGGTGCTGGTGAAATAGCTCTGGGGGATGGAAGCCCTGACTCGGAGGCTCTGCTGATTTCTACAGTGTTGATGCTCTCACGGTGGCTGATTTCAAGCTACCATCCTGTCTTCACTGAACGTGGGTGTGTGAAGAGATGGCTCGCGTCACATGGCTCCAGCACATCCTTGTGTATAGCTTTCCTTCCACTGGGCCTGGAGGTGGGGGGTGTGTCCTTGCTTCTCACTGCCATTTCCAGATTATTCTTCCTCTTCCCTAGGAGCCCCCAGCTTTGAACATCATCCCACTACTTTTCTGGTAGCCATCGCCAGCTCACTCCTGCTCACTCCTAGGTCTCAACACTGTTCTGTCACAGTTCTCAATGATTTTATCACACATACAAATGTCCCTTTCAGCACCCTGGCCTATTGGGTGCTTGATCTCCTCTTTTCCAATAACCTTTCCCTCATTCAACCTCAGCCACTGCCTCCCATTGTCATACCCAAGACCTCATCAGTACTGACAACAGCAATCTCTCCTTAATTTTAACTTCCAGCATCCCTTTCTCCTACTAACACTTCCCATCTTCCCAGCCCCAATACACCGTTGACCTCATAAAGACCTGCAATCCATTGATCTTACTTCCTTCTCACCAATCCTCACCTGCTTCATTTCCTCATCTCCCTCCTAAACAGCTTACATGTCACACTCCATCCTTATAATCTGTCCCTTGGCCCCCTCTTGATTTGCTGTTAAATCCAACCCTCTGTCTAATCTGGACCCGCACCCCAGAAGCACTTCAAATATATGACCTTTAACTTAAGAGGGCCTTTAATGCTGATCACACTATGTTTACCTAATCTGTTTGCTCTCCAACTCTCATGGAAACTTTTCAAGCTTTCTACTCTCTCCTTCCCAATGCCCCCTTCCCCACCCTGCTCTCTGCTTATGATTTCTCATTTCACTGAGAAAATAACAGTTAGGAGAGAACTTCCACAAGTGCCTGCCATATGCTCCACCCTCAGCTGTGCCCCATACTCCATCTTCCCTCGTGGTACCATTTCTATGGATGAGCTGTTTATGGTCCTAGGTCAGGCCAAGCTCTCTTCTTGAATACTAAAGCATATCTCCTACCGCCTGCTCAAAGACATCAACAACAGCAATTCTCTTCTGTTTCTCCCTTATCATCAAAATGTTCCCTCTGGTGGATGACTCCCATTACTTATGCCATCTAAAAATTTCGCTCACACCACTCCACTCTCCCCTCTGGCTATTTCTCCATCATTCTGCTCTGCTTTTTCCCAAAATGTCTCAAAGAGTTTCCTATGCTCACTGTCATCCATTTCTTCAAATCCCACTCTAATGAGGATTTCGGCCCCACTTCTCCACTGAAATTGCTCTTATTAAGATCACTAATGACTGTCATACTGCTAAATCCAGTGGTCAATTCTCAGCCTTCCCAGCAGAAGGTGATATAGCTGATGAGGACCCCATACAGTCTTGATTTTCATTCTGCCTCGTTGGTCATTCCTTCTCAATATCTTTTACTGGTTCCATTTTTTCTTCTTGATCTCTTAACAGTGGCTGAGCCTGGGACTGCTGCTTCTTTCTATTTGCACGCCCTCCCTTGGTAGCTTGTCAAAACTCAGTAGCATAAGGTGAGGGTGGTGGGTTGAAATTGAGGTCTCAACTCAGCCTTGAAAGATGAATCCTTTTTTGTCTTAGTCTGTGCAGGCTGCTATAACAAAGTACCGTAAACTGGGTCACTTACAAACAACAGAGATGTATTTGCTCATAGTTCTGGAAGCTGGGAAGTCCAAGATCAAGGAGCCAGTGGATGCAGTGTCTGGCGAGGGCCACTCCGTGACTCATAAATGGCACCTTTTAGCTGGGTCCTCCCATGGTGGAAGGGGAAAATAAGCTCCCTCAGGCCTCTTTTATAAGGGCACTAATCCCATTCATGAGGGCAGAGTGCTCATGACCTAACCACCTGCTAAAGGCCCCGCCTCTTAATACTATTGCATTGGGGATTAGGTCTCAACATATGAATTTTGGAGAGGACACAAACATTCAGGCCATAGCACTTTTTAAGTTTAATTTAGTTTCCCAAGACTTTTCCCTGTTTTCTAGCTGATATGATTATTCTCGTCTCCTTGGTATTTAAGATGCTTAGGGTTTATCGATAAGTTGACATTTGGATTTATAAACCAGTGTGTGTGTGTTCATTCATCTGCTTGTCCCTCTTTATCTCATCTTGAGGTAACAGAAACCCAAGAAAAACATTTTGTTTCCTGATGGTTCAGCCCTGAGTCCAGGAGTGGTGACGTTCCTTACCTCTTCAGAAGGTGGTTAGAAGGGACAAGCCCAGCGCAGGTAGCAGGGTCTGAGATTTTTCGGGCCTGCCACCAGAGGGCATCATTCTGGTCCACAATCTGGAGGATGTCCCCCTTCTGGAAAGGCAATCCAGCGTCCATGCAGGGGATGTCGGGATCCTCCTGGGGCCAGTACTCAGTCATGGCACGGACGTACACCTGATGGCAGGTGCATAATGACGCTATCAGAAGGTGCCTAATGGTGCCATCCGAAGAACCCTTGCCCATGGGCCATCATGACTTAAAACCATTTCTCCCACTCCTCCACCTGCTACTCCTATCTTTCCTCTCCACCCTCACCAAAAAGGAGAACTCGCCTCCTGAGCCTAAGTACCATGATAAAAAGCATCTTTGGGAACAGAATCTCTTAGCTTAGAGAAGTTTAGGCTCAAATGTTCATGATTTTTTATGTTGCTTCTTGACTTCTTAGTATCCCATCTCCTTGTACTGTACTCATTTACTTATTTTGCTTCTCGGGCCATCAGTATTGAAAAATATCCAACACAGTCTTGAATCCAGGTCCAACACAGTACAAAGGATAGGATTATTACGCATCATATTTAGTTGCTGTTACTTGGGGATTTACTGTGTGTGAGATTGAAGGCTCAGTAAATTCTTACCATCTGCTGGCTATTCACAGGAGGGTCAGAGACTGGAACCACCTTGAACATGATTGTGCCTCGAGACATGGCCTGGAAAATAAGAGAGGAGAAAGGATGACAATCATGGAGCTAGCAGGGTTACTGGGGCTCGGTGGACAGAGTTACAGTGCAATGTATCCAGGTCTCATGGTAAAATCCCCCAAGAGCCTTTCACAAGGGCTCTGCAGCTGTCACCATCCAGAAATGGAAATCAGGAAGCAATTTACCCCTGCATCTGCCCTGCTGTGTGGTTCTGGGGTCGCTGGTCTGCTAAAAGCCACACTGAAGTGGCCTCTTCCAGGGACCCCCCCCCACCCTACACTGAAACAGAAACACCCCACCAGCAAGGTCTTCCTCACACAGGCCCTGGGGAGAGACAGGATCTCCATCTGACTTTCCCTCCTTATTCCCTTACTCAGTAAGCATTTCCTGAATGCCTGTTTCTACACCAGATACCCCAGTCTGATGGGGAAGAAGAGGGGCTCCTAAGTTTTCTGGGAGAACTGACAACCTTCCAAACTAATAGAGGAAATAGGGAGCTCTCAGACCGGGGGAAGGAAGAATTCCCCTGTTACATACACTGTGATGGGCATTAAACATCTAGAGATTAAGACCCCGTTTGTACTCAGGAATTTCAAAATCCCACTGTCCCGGCAACATCACAGCTGGCACCAGGGGGTAGAAGCCATGCATATCTGTGATTTCTAGTACTTCAAGCTTCCTTTGCAGCACATTCTATACCACACAGAATCTTGCAGCAGTGGCTTACAAAGGATTTAGGTGCTTGTCTCATAGCACCACTCCTCGCCTCAGTCTCTAAGCCACTGCTATGAAATCCTGGCAGGAACCCAGTTTGAGAACCACTGGTCTATCCACTATAAGAAAGGCTGCCCTCCAGGAAGATGTTGAACATTTCAGCCATAGAAAAGTGTTAGTGGGGGAAGGAGTGGTTTGCTTGGGTTCAGACTCTCCTACTAAGTCTCACTCTGTCCACCCCAGGTTCAGTTTCCAATGGAGCAAACCAGGTGATGAGGGAGCTGGGCTGGGGGCCCTGGCAGTCTTCCCGTGGCTGAAGGAGGAAGGAGCTGCTTGGGACGGGAAGTTTCCCAGCCAGGACCAGAACTTCTCGGGGTAGAGGAGGGAGGTCAGCAAGTGACATGGGTGACAGACAAGGTCTGGGAGCCTGGAGGGAGAAAGCTGCCAAGAGAACTTGAGTCCCCGGTACATCCCAGTGCACACACGTGGGCTTGATGGTCCCAGTTCAGCCTTGGCATTTCTCCAAGTCATTAACAAAAAGGCAAAAAGAAGATTTACCAGAATATGGATCACTTGTTCAGGGTCCAGTCCCTCAACTGAAACTCCATTCACTTCTACCAGTTTGTCTCCAGCATATAGCAACCCTAGGCAGACAGTAACAAAAAACAAAGAAAGATACAAAGAAGTAGGATAAAAATAGCAGTAGCTACCTCGATAGCTATTTAACTCACTAACCCAAGCATGCTCTAAAAATGTTTAATATAAAATAATAATAGAAAAGAAAGCTGGTTATTCCAACTTACATCACCCCCAGAAATGTGTGAACAGTCCATTTTTCTACCTCGTCATAAATACTTGGCATTGACTTATGGTCATATTTTTATTTTTGCTAGTCTGATGTTGTAAAATGGAACCAGAACGCTGGTAAGAAAATAGCACTAAATCCAAAGATGTCAGGGTCATAAGTCAACAACAAAAAGGAAATGGGGTAGGTATTATTCAAAAGAGAAAATGTGGAGAAACTTGGGGTTTAAGTGAAGACTTGAGAAATGTGAGGTAAAACAGTGGAGTTGTCAGATAGTTGAGAGAAGAAGTGGAATGGTGTTATAGAACAGAAACGAAGCATGATAAAAAATTCAAGAAAGGTGTCAACAGCATCAGATGTGGTCAAGAAGTGAAAATAAAACTGAGGAGGGCCAGGCATGGCGGCTAATGCCTATAATCCTAGCACTTTGGGAGGCCAAGGTAGGTGGACCACTTGAGGCCAGAAGTTCAAGACCAGCCTTGCCAACTTGATGACACTCTGTCTGTACTAAAAATACAAAAAAAATTAGCTGGGGGTGGAGGTACATGCCTGTAATCCCAGCTGCTTTGGAGGCTGAGGCAGGAGAATTGCTTGAACTCGGGAGGCAGAGGTTGCAATGAGCTGTGATTGCCCTACTGCACTCCAGCCTAGGTGACAGAGTGAGACTCTGTCTCAAAAAAAAAAAAAGAAAAGAAAAGAAAACTGAGGAGGAAGGAAGGGCCAATGGACTTAGCAACTAGGAAATTCTTGGTATTTACAATGAGAATGTTGAAGTATAAAGCATGTGCTAGGTTTTAGGGCTTCGGGGTAGTGAAGATGTATAACAGGTATAGAACCACTCATTTCAGAAGCACAACAGTAGCCAGGTGTGGTGGCTCATACCTGTAATCCCAACAGTCTGGGAGGCCAAGGCAGGAGGATTGCTTGAGCCCAGGAGGTTGACACCAGCCTGGGCAACATAGTGAGACCCTATCTAAACATAAAATAGAAAAATTGGCTGGGCATGGTAGTGTGCACCAGTGGACCCAGCTACTCGGGGGCTGAGGTGGAAGGATTGCTTGAGCCCAGGAAGTTGAGGCTACAGTGAGTCATGATCATACCCCTGCACTCCAGCCTGAGCAACAGATTAAGACCCTGTCTCAAAAAAAAAAAAAAAAAGTTTTTAGAAGAACAGCAGTGAAAGGATGAAAATCTGGTTAACTGGTTGAAAGTGTGAGCAAAAGGCATTTCAAGATGGGAAAGAGCTATGCCTTTCTGAAAGTAGAAGGACAAAGTGCAGAGAAAAAGTTGGGAATATAGAGCTAAGCAGCTTGAATCCTGACTCAAACGGTGTAACTCTGAGCAAGTTAGTTTCATAATCTCTTTGAGCCTCAGTTTCCTCATCTATACAATGGCATGATAATAGTTACCTTTGAGGTTGCCATGAGAATGTAAACTGAGAGACTTTAATGTGGTACCTAGAATGGGAAGGACTCAGTGAAGGAGAGGAGTAAGATTTCTCTGGAATATTTGTTTCTTCTTTCTTTACTGCTTTATCCAAGAAATGGAACTTACTAAAGCCCTGACCCAAGTTAAGAAAGAGGGATTTCTCAGGACGGGTGTGTGGCTCACGCCTATAGTCCCAGCACTTTGGGAGGCTGAGGTGGGCGGATCACGAGGTCGGGAGATTGAGACCATCCTGGCTAACACGGTGAAACCCCGTCTCTACTAAAAATACAAAAAATTAGCCGGGCGTGGTGGCGGGCGCCTGTAATCCCAGCTACTTGGGAGGCTGAGGCAGGAGAATGGCAAACCCCAGAGGTGGAGCTTGCAGTGAGCCGAGATCACGCCACTGCACTCCAGCCTGGGCGACAGAGCAAGACTCCATCTCAAAAAAAAAAAAAGAAAAAAAAAAAGAAAAAAAAGGGATTTCTCTAGAAAGAAGCCTAAACAGTCAAGGGTTTCCTGTTTTTCTGGTAACTCTCAATCCCAGCTGCTCCAGCTTACCACTTCTCTCCGCCAGCCCACCGTGGATGATCCTGGCCACCAAGATGTCCCCTGTCATCTCGTGGCGCTTGATGGTGGCTCCCTGAAGAGAGAATAGACGAGATCCCTCTGTTACCTGACATGACCATTTTCCAGGTGGCTTCCCTCAATCAATGCAGCTCTGGTCTTTCAATCAATGCAGCTCTGGTCTTTCAATCAATGCAGCTCTGGTCTTTCAATCAATGCAGCTCTGGTCTTTCAATCAATGCAGCTCTGGTTTTTCAAACAAGGCTATTCAGGCAACCAGGGACGGAGGGGCCACACAGTGCCCTGTGGCCTGTCAGTCATAGCATGCCATCAAAAAGGAAAGGCCATTCGGCTTTGGCTTCCTGGAGTCTCATTTCAACCACACAGACATAAAAGAATACTTAGATTCATCCAAAGATACAGAAACCTCCCACAATTAAAACCTAATTAGAGGGACTGTTCTTAGAAAATCAGATTAATGCCTTCCTTAGCTTCTCATTAATATAAGGAAATAGGCAAATGCAATGGAATTGAGGGAAATACATGCATAGGTCAGAAAGCCAAATATTAAAATAAAACATATGTCTTATTTCTCACAAAAATGTCTTATAAATCTCATCTTACTTTTCACAAAAGAAAAACACTAAGCTGAAATCTTTCCTTAGAGAAAACACCGTGACATGTAATATGTTTGAAACCACAGGCAAAACTTGCAGAGTTGACAGCCGTTATTATCACTGTATATGTGATCGCAGGCAAGGCTACTGCCCAAGTAACCACTAGATATAATTTGGTTCACAATTAACCTAAGCTTACCCTAAATGGAAAGATAAAAAATGATTTCCTTACCAGGGGCTGTTGGTTTTTCACTAAACAAACAATCCTCATTGCTTCCTCACTCTCAGGGATATTGTCTGGCAGTGGAGGGAGAAGGGGTTCAAAATCTTTCTGAGCTATCGTGTCATGGGCACTGAGCAAGGCCTGGGCACAGGGAAGGAAAAGGTGAGCAAATGTCACACATGGGCCAAACCCCTCTAGAAGATAGTAACTCAATACTATCTAAGACACAGCAACAACAACAAACACCAATACAGACATGCCAGACACAGTGCGAAGCATTTTATATGAATTAATCCGATCTTCACAATAATTCTATGAGGCAGGTACATTAATTGTCCTCAATTTGCAGATAAGGAAATAAGGCACAGAGAGGTTAAGCAATGCACAATACACTCTTTCATTTCTGCTAAAATGTATTATGCCACGACATTCTTATTTCCTGGCAGCCCATGTAATCTGTGATGCCCCTGTGGAGTTTGAACTACAAAACAACTTTTATAATATTTTCCCCAATTAAGGTAGAACGAAGGGCAGCAATCAAAATATCTTGCTGGTTTAATTTGTTAGTAACACTCAAGGGCTCATGTGGTACAGAATGAGGAGTTCATATGATCAAGCTCTTTGATCATAGGGTATGATCATAGGGTATGATCAAAGAGTTTCTTTGACTAGTCCACTAGGTTAAATTCTTCATTTCACGGGCTGGAGAAGCTGTCACTCTGCCACCCTGACTGAGATTGGTAGACACAATTTAGTTGGAACTCAGAAAATTCTCTAAGTAGTGCGTGCCGTTGAGGATATTTGATGACTGGTGGTTGTGTTGTGAATTATAACTTTTGACTGATAAATTTCAGCACTCCAAATACAGACATTGTCTTAAAGTTCTAATTTATTGATAAATTGGTCTCAAATCTGTAAGTACTAAGAGATAGGTTTCTGTTCTGCAATCAAATGTTCTTCATAAACCCTCTCACAGGGATAATCATCATTATACTGTATATTCCAAATACACACACATTATCTAAAACTCAAAATAGTCCCACTTTGGAAAGGAAGCATGGAGGTATTCCTCTATAACTAGAACATTCCCTGTTTGCTACCCAAGATTTTTGGATGGGCAATAGCTTTGTAGGGGAAACAAAGCACCATGGAAAGTTCTGGATGCCTCCTCATAAACACAGCAGGCTTGACTGCATGATTGACAACACTGAGCTAGTCACATCTGAGTCCCACATATTTAAGTACAATCTGTTGGTCAGTAACCGTGTACAGTAATAGAACATCTATTCAGAGAGAACATTTTCCATCACATATATTTCTCCTTCCCAACTTTGTCTATGTGCCAGATGGGGACATCTTTTCTATTTTAGCAGGCACTTGCCTTGAAGTGTGGAGCCTGGAGCATTTGTCTCAGCTCTTGGATCTCAGGGGAAGTAGGGGTTTCACGTAATAACTCCACTACCTGGTTCATGGAAAAGGATACATTATAAAAATTTTAAAAAATCTTTATCACCTACTTAACCTCACCCAGGCTGGATAACATACATACTAACATGATATTGACCTTTAAAAAGCTATTACTGGAGCCTTCTTTTTCATCTATAAAGCCATCCATTAAAGCCTACCATCCTTCTTTATTCATTAAAATTGCTACTTTAATATAGCAAATAGAATTCAAGAGTTGAGATGGATCTAAACCCAATGCCCAATCCTGGCACATAGGCATGGAGGATGTACCAATTTGGTAACAGCATATGAACCAAGGCACTTTTCCTCTAGTGCCTCTAAAATATAATAGCTGTTGGCTGATGTCAATGCTTTGCAGGCTTATGAAGCTGTATGAGTTTCTCTAGGAACGTACCTGGGGAACTCAAAGAGCTTAATCCCATGGGATGCTCCATTCTTCAAATAGAAAATGGAAATCATAATTTCTCTTTTAGAGTATCAGTTGATTAGCAATTTTAATGCTTGTTACAATAAAAAGTGCTAAGCGGAAAAAAATTCTGCTCTCTCTGCTGTGGTTTAGGCGTAGACCTGCTTTCAGAGGACATAAGACCTTTCAAGACTTTAGTCAGCCCCATTACCTACAGTCAAATGAAAACAAGCAGTTTACAAAGGTTTACCTCCATTCACTGGGATTTCAACTGAATAAAATATTATATATGTGCTTTTCCTGTGGACAACTGAGAACAATTTGAATTGTTGATTACTGGAATTGAGAGCAGAAGTTTTTTCTTTCTTTTTTGCTGTTTCTTTTAATATGGGATGGGCAATAAATAATAAAATGGATTATATTTATTCATTCATTCGACAAATATTTATTGAACACTACTGTGTGCTAGGAACTGTTTTAGGTGATGCAAAAACAGCAGTGGCTGACAAAAATCTCCATTCTCATGGAGTTTACATTCTAGGGAGGAGACACAGACAACAAATGAAATGTGTAAGTAAAATAGTTTTGTTTGATGGTGACAAGTGTTAAGAAGAAAAATAAACCAGGGAAGCTGGCTAGGAAGTGCTAGGAGGGAATACAATTTTAGATAGGTGACCAGGAAAAGCCTCACTGAGAAGGTGGCATTTGAGTGGAGACTGGAAGGAGATGAGGGACAGATCAGGTATATATCTGGGCAAGAGCATTGCTGACATAAGGAATGGCGAGTGCAAAGGGCCCCAGGCAGAAGCATGCCTGATGATTTGTTTTTTGGGTTTGTTTGTTTGTTTTTTGAGATAGTCTCACTCTGTCACCCAGGTTGGAGTGCAGTGGTGTGATCTCGGCTCACTGCAACCTCTACTTCCTGGGTTCAAGCAATTTTCGTGCCTCCCAAGTAGCTGGGATTACAGGCATGCACCACAACGCCCAGCTAATTTTTGTTGTTGTTGTATTTTTAGTGGAGATGGGGTTTCGCTATGTTGGCCAGGCTGGTCTTGAACTCCTGGGCTCAAGTGATCAGCCTGCCTCAGGCTCCCAAAGTGCTGGGATTATAGCCATGAGCTACTGCACCCAGCCTGATGAATTTAAACAATAACAAGGGGTCAATGTGGCTGGAACAGAGTGAATGGAGAAAGCATTGAGTGTGAAGTCAAAGAGGTAACAGCAGCTTGATTGTGTTCAGCTATGTAAGAACTTTGGTGTTTAGGCCAGGTGTGGTGGCTCACACCTGTAATCCCAGCACTTTGGGAGGCCAAGGTGGGCAGATAGCTTAGTGTCAGGAGTTTGAGACCAGCCTGGCCAAAATGGTGAAACCCCGTCTCTACCCAAAATACAGAAATTAGCCAGGTGTAGTGGGTTCCTGTTGTCCTAGCAACTCAGGAGGCTGAGGCACGAGAATTGCTTGAACCCAGGAGGCAGAGGTTGCAGTGAGCAGAGATCATGCCACTGCACTGTAGTCTGGGTGAAAGACCAGGACTCTGTATCAAAAACAAAAAAGCAAAACAAAAAAAGAGCTTTGGTGTTTACTCTGAGATGGGAAGTCATTTGAAGGGTTTGAGTGTTAGTGAGGAAGTGACATGATTTGACTTGCTTTCAAAGAGGGTATTTTTGGTTGCCGTGTTGAGAGTAGACTGTAGAGGAGCAAGAGTGGACACAGGAGACCAGATAGGAGGCAATTTTGCAACTATCTATGTAAGAGATGATGATGATGGTATGGGGTGGTGAGATCCTGGATATATTTTGGTGAGATCCTGGATATATTTTGAAAGTAGAGCTGAGAGGATTTGCTATCTGATTGGGTGTGAGGTATCAGAAAAAGAGAGTCGAAATGACCCCTAAGATTCTGGCCTGAGCACTGCAAGAACACAGGTATCGTTTCTGAGATAGAAAAGGCTTCCAGAAGAGTGGGTGGGGGTGATCGGCAGGTGGGGAAGATCGGGAGCTCAGTTTGGAACATGTGAACTTGGAGGAGTCCGTTAGACATCCAAGTGAGATGGAGAGGAGGCGGTTGGATATTTGAGACTGGAATTTAGGGAAATCTCCAGGCTAGAGATATAAATCCGAGAATTATTACTATAACATTACCCTGTTTATGAAGGGCAAATGGAGTACGAGACTTAGGAAAAAAGAAAGAAATGAACACACGCTAAAAATGACGTGGGTGGTGGTGGGGAGTGTTTTAATTTGGGGAGATACCCAGCCAATGTTCTTCCTTATATTAAAGTTCAATTAGAAACATTTATTAGATGCATAGTCATCAATAAAACTTTTCCTTAGAACCTTTAATTCATTTGAACTAGCAATGTGGGGAAAATGGCACCACATCAGAGCTCTACTATCCTGTGGAATAAAATCTCCTTACCTCATAGGATAACACCTGTGCATGTGGTGTGGCAGGAACTAGTTTCTTTTCTTTAAATTCCTGGAGGCAGTCATAAATCTGCAGAAGGACAAGGGAGGGAGAATTGATATTGATAATATGACTATTGCCATTTTGGATTTAAGACTCTCAAAGAGAAGAAACACCCCAGGCAACTGCACCAATGGCTGCACAGCACGGTGTGGTTGGTGTTTAGTAAGTTGTGTCTCTAGTTGCCAAAGAGAAATGAACTTGAGTTTGGTGGCCCCGATGCTTCAAAAGCTTAATTATTGGCTGCCATTGGGAAATTGATCTTCTCCAAGCATTTCAGTAATAAAAAGAAATTCAAACTTTTAATCTTGTTAAACAGAGTGAGGGTAGGGTGTCTGGGACTGAAACCAATGGGGATTTGTAGATGATGCATAAAGGAGCGTCTTAAAGGAGGGGCCCTTTAGGACCAGACACCTGTGAGGACCCCTGTGTTGGGCGCCTGTGCAGCATGTGAGCTGTGTGGCTCAGGGCCACTGAAGGTTCTGAATAAGTGGTGGGCATGCCACAAACGCTTCTCTGTACTCTGCTTTGTGCTTTGGGGCTGTTTCCCATTCCTCTCCTAATTCTCTAGTACAAGTTCATTTTTTAAAATTCCAACTTCATCTCCACATACCCTTGGGAATTTTTTTCCATACCAAGATCTAGGTTTGGGCTGAGGACACCAAAGCCTGCCTAGCTCTGCAATGCACCCCTTGATCTTATTTTAGGAATTGAGTTTCTCTTACAGACGAAGAAATAAGGCCCAAGGGGCCGGCTGAGCCCCCAGTCTTTTCTATCCAGATTAGTGATGATGCTGCTTCCCTGCTCTATCCCAGGGCCCGCATTCAGGTTTACCTGGAAGTGATGAAGGCTGATTGGATAACTCACCAAGGGCCTAGCAGTGGTGAGCAAAGGCAATGCCCATCATGAAATTAAAACTCCTATCTTAGCTGATCCTGTGGGAAAATGCCTGATAGAAATCAGGTGTTTTATAACAGGTGCTATGAGGAGTACTTCATTCATGCCAAAGATGTTGCCACTTTTATTGTATAATATTAACATGCACTATAAGACAGACCACATTTCACACTTAAGTGAAGGAAATACCCACATCCCAAAAAATAACTTCAAAAGGATCTCTCTTAATAATAACACTTGTTCAGAACAACAAAATTATAGTAGTGGCATCTACTAGATAGTAGATGCTATTTTTCTACTATCTATTAGACGCTATTGTATAGTGCATGGAATTTTAGCCAAATTAAAAAAGAATAAACTTTATTTATTCTATTTTATTTATTTATTTTGAGATGGAGTCTCTCTCTGTCACACAGGCTGGAGTGCAGTGGCTCAATCTTGGCTCACTACAACCTCTGCCTCCCAGGTTTAAGCAATTCTCGTGCCTCAGCCTCCAGAGTAGCTGAGATTACAGGTGCGTGCCACTGCATATGGCTAATTTTTTGTATTTTTAGTAGAGACAGGGTTTTGCCATGTTGGCCAGGCTGGTCTCAACCTCCTGACCTCAGGTGATCCACCAGCCTCGGCCTCCCAAAATGTTGGGATTACAGGCATGAACCATCACACTGGGCCAGAAGAAACTTTAGAATAAGAAACTTCAGGGTACCTAAACAGAACTGTAGATATTTTACTTTCTAACTTTAACAAACAAATAGGAATAACTTTTTAAAGCACTTTTATTTATCCAGGGTTGCTGCAAGGACAAACGGTTGTAGCCAGCTGATAAAGTGTTGCCAATGACCATCGTGGTGGCTGTTTTGTGATTCCAGGGGGCCTCTGGAAGAAAAAGAGCTGTGGGGAGAAAAGGAAGGGACTACCATATTCTCCTCCACCTAAGTTAATTCCTTCCTAAGCGAAGAAGTTTGTGTAGCTCTTCTCTGAGAGTTGCCTTCTAAGAACTTTTTCCAAGTTGAAATTTCCTACCAGTTGATAAATGACACCATTGGGTAAGTAGTTGCTATGATCTGAATGTGTACTTCCAAAATGCATATGTGATGATATTAAAAGGTAAGGCTAGCTGGGTGTGGTGGCTCATGCCTGTAATCCCAGCACTTTGGGAAGCTGAGCCGGACGGATCACCTGAGGTCAGGAGTTTGAGACCAGCCTGGCCAACATGGTGAAACCCCATCTCTATTAAAACTACAAAAATGAGCCAAGTGTGGTGGTGGGTGCCTGTAATCCCAGCTACTCAGGAGGCTGAGGCAGGAGAATCGCTTGAAGCTGGGAGGCGGAGGTTGCAGTGAGTTGAGATCAGGCCAGCGCATTCCAGCCTGGGCAACAGAGTGAGACTCTGTCTCAAAAAAAAAAAAAAAAAATAGGTAAGGTCTTTGGGAGCCGATAGGTCATCAGGGCTCTGCCCTCATGAATATGGAATTAATGCCCTTATACAAGAGACCCCAAGAGAGCTGGCTAGCCCCTTCCATTATGTGAGGACATAGCAAGAAGTTACCATTTAGGAACCAGAGAGGGAGCCCTCAAAAGACACTGAATCTGCTGCCGACTGGATTTTGGACTTCCTGGCCTACAGAACTGTGAGATATCAATTTCTGTTGTTTATAAACTATTCCACTATCCAGCCTGAATGGACTGAAGCTGTCATTTTCTACACACTCCCCACAACCCCTTCAGCAAGCAAAGGCTTCCGAGCAAAGAAGCACTCACCTTTAGCAGAGCCTGAAGCCACGGCGAGTGGAGGAGATCGTACAAGAGACACACTCCATTCACATCTCTGCCGTAGAACAGACTCAGCTCTTGCAGCACAAGCCTCAGGATCTGGGAGAGGCCTAGGAAAGGAAGAGAGCAGAGATGGGGTGGCAGGTGCGGGTGTAAATGTGAAAGGCAACTCAGATAGCTGGGGCATGCCATGGGGTCTCACCAGGAGTGGAAATGACACTGGATCTCAGGCCAAAAGATCTGACTTCAAGCCCTGTTCCACCTCTTACTTTGTGAACGTCACAAAGTCACATAGCTATCCGAAACCCAGTTTCTTTGCCCAAGATGAGAAGGTGCTAGCTTTGTCATAGTGTTGTTCTTAACACTGAGTAAAATAATAGATCGTGATGTGCAGATGTAAGATGTCATGAAAGGAAAATGATTGCTTTCCCCTCCCCCATCTTACCAGCCTGTCGTTTATCCCAAAATTATCTACTTGTGTTCTGTATCCTCTTTCTCTAACTCAAACATAAGAGTCATTTCATCCTCTCAAAAAATTCTTATTGAGAGTGATATTGAAAAATTCTAACTCCCAATAGATTTAATGCAAAGCTCAGTATTCTCCTGATTAAAGGGTCTCTAAACAGATTTTAGTGAATATTCTATTTTTTGACAGTATTTTCACAGTGTTGTAGTGATATTCTGAATGTGAACAACTTAAGAAGTTCTAAGTTTTACATAAAACATTGTCAGGTAAGGGAAAAAAAGGTTTTGAATCCATCATGTCCATTTATTTCCTTCCTGGCTTGAAATTTGTTCTTAAAGTTATCACTGGTAGGGCAGTAGTGCAACCAAAAATGTACAAGATCCTCATAGGGATCACAGTAAGTCTGTCAGGATTTCTGCCTATTCATTTGATCACATGTCAGAGGTGATATTACTTTCTGGTCTAGAAAAGGAGTCCTGGTGACACATACCATTCTGTGGATTGGTGGCTGTAGAAAGCTTCATGTCCTTCTTGTCTGGTGGATCTGCTCCTTTGTCTGACTGTATCATCCTCCCTGCCGGAGCTTCTGAAAGGAATTCAGGACTAGGAAGCGGGTCAATACACGGCACACAGCTCACTCAGTCCCACTGGCCACCAGCTCTCAGCACACTGGAATATATTTTCAATAGCATTTCCTCAGCAAGCCAGGCCCTGTGCTACACACTGGGATACACATCAAATGAAACACAGTCTTCCCCTGTGGTGCCTACTCTTAACCATCACCAGTGGCGTGAAAGAGAAAACGACTATTGCATAAAATGCTCCCCCTAACTCCATGTTTTAAACACATTTTTTAGCCTTTCAGAAGAATTGATTTCCTAGAAACCACACCTACCCACTTTTTAGAAGTAAATGACAAATACTATATTTATTTATCTTCCACCTCTTTACCCAGTTGACTTTACCCATCATTAGAGCTCAGAAAAGTCTTGCGTGGACCAGCTCCACTCAGGTGCCCCATTTCCTCTCATTGCACCTTATAGTTCTTCATAGAAGAACTAGCTGGTCTGGTCACAGTTGCAAGAATTATGGGTTATTACTGAGGCACACTCTTGGAATTTAGAGACAACACTGTAACGATCTGTTGTTTTGTTTTGTTTCTAGAGTGCTTTCCTGGCTCAATCCTACAATTTGTATAGAGTCTGGACAGTTTTCTTTTTCCCTTTTTTTTTTTTTTTTTTTTTTTTTGAGACAGGGTCTCACTCTGTTGCTTAGGCTGAAGTGTGGTGGCATGATCATGGCTCATGATCATGCACCCTCGACCTCTTAGGTTCAAATCATCCTGCTACCTCAGCCTCTTGAGTATCTGGGACCATAGGCATGTGCCACCACACTCGGCTAATTTTTAACTTCTTGTAGAGATGGGGTCTCACTATGTTGCCCAGGCTGGTCTCCAACTTCTGGGCAATCTTCCCACCTTGGCTTCTCTAAGCACTGGGATAATAGGTGTGAGCCATCGCACCTGGCCTAGACAGTTTTCTTAACCCTATCAGATTTAATACCAGTCTTTGAAAACTAGTTTGAAATGCTTATTTTAATGTTTATTTTTGGTATTGCTTTAGGTAGATTTAGTTTCAAGAAGTAGAAACCCAGAATAATTTTGGCTTAGCAGAGTAGTTTATATCTTGTTCGTGTGAAAGTTCAGAGACAGAGAGAATCCAGGGCTAATAGGGCAGCCTTGCTCCACGAAGTCCTCAGGGAATAGGTTCCTTCCGGCTACTGCTCTGTCACCCTAGGGTGTAGCATGGTTCTGTCTACCTGCTCCAAGATGGCAGCTGCAGCTCCAGTCATCACGCCTACATTTCGGCCAACAGGGTAGGGGAGGAAGGGATTAAGAAAACACGGGCAAAGAAAATATGCCTACTGCTCTTTAAGCAAAGTTTTCCACAAGTTGCCCTACACAGTGAAGAATCGCCTCATGCCCTGTATAGCTTTCAAATGTCCCACTGAACTATCATGTCACTGAAAAACAATAAAACCTGTAGTTATCTGAATCCAGACGCCAACTTTTCTTTACATATAAACACAAGACACTTTTGCACTGGTTTAATATACAATGGGGAGTAGGGTATTGAGGCAGGGAAGGTGAAAAAGCCAGTAATAGGTTGTCATCAAGAAGTAACCACTGTAGGCAACTAGAGCTTAATCCCACGGGGGAACAGGGGCCAAGGGAGTGAGAGTATTTACACACCAATGGCAACATGAGGGTTTTTATACACCAATGGCAACCTTGGTATATAAATACCCTCACTCTCTTGGCCCCTGTTAGAGCCAACAGGTTAAGAGCTCTTCCCAGAGAGCATTATTTCTGACTCTTCCAGCATGCAACATGTATACCTTCGGATAGGAAGTGGAGGGGCTAGCAGCTGGAGTGGGCTCAGAGTGCACCAAAATGGTAACAACCAAGGGGTATGCGGTGGGGGTAGGGACCAACAACATTGTTATAGTAGGACAATAAAGAATACATTAAGGTTTTTGTTATAAAAGGAACACTTCAAATTAGTTGTTAAAGACTGGAGTATTGACTCTGATAGGGTTGAGAACCACTGTCTAGAATCTAGACTGATTGTGGGTTGAAGCCAGGAAGGCTATCTAAAAGAAGAAAAGATCATTATTATTTTGACTCTAAATTCTAAGGCAGTGAGAAGAGCAACACAGAAAGCTGTTACAGCATTTTAGACAACTTTCCCCTACACATTCCTTTCCAAACACCCTGAAGTCTTCCGGTTTGCTAGGTTCTACCAAAGCTTGACATCGTTATGCTTTTGACTTGCCCTCCATCACCTACCTTGCCCACTTGTAATTGAGTCAGATTAAACAATGCGTTTTCCTGTGTTCTGTGTTGTTTTTGACTCTATTGAATCATTTAGCATCACAGCTGCATATCTGACTCATCTTCCTCCCTGGAGGGGAGCACTTCCAGGGTAGAAAATTGAAAAGGGAGATGGAGTGCCTGCTAGAGAGCAGACAAAAGTCAGAGCAGACAGATGAGGCTGACACTCAGGCTGACTCTTAAAATTGGTTCCCCTCCAGCACCTCACAAATCACACGTCCTTGGCAAAGCAGTGCAGATTAAACAAGCCAACTGTTGTTTGCACGTCATGAGGTGGACCACATTTCTGCCATATTTAATGCCCGAATGACTGTGCTGAGCTAGGCCTACCCATTCAGCAGTTGGGGGCACACACTAGAGACTACATATTTCTGAGATGAATTTATTGTGAGGGAGCTTTACAGATAGACTGTGCTTCACAGATAGGCGGTGGTTTCTTGAGTGAATGCAATGGTTAAAATAGCTTCTAATAAATCTAGAGCCAACTTCAGGGCTACCTAGATAACTAATTCATACATTCTAAAAGGCTCGTTTTGACCCAAAGTTTCTCAGCCATAGAGGCAAAAACAATAATTACAGTAATCTACAACTTATGCAAATTCTAAAAACTGTGCTTGGCTCCTCATCTTCAGGTTCCTATGACAAATTTATGGTGGACTGAATGTTGTGTCCCCACCCCCAATTCAGATGTTGAAGCCCTAATCCCCATTGTTGATGGCATTTGAAGATGGGGCCTTTGGGAGGTAACTGGGTTAAGGTCATGAGGTAGAGGCCTCAAGATGTCATTAGCGTCTGGGTAAGAGCCATCAGAGTTCATGTGTTCTCTCTCTCCCTGCCAGATGATGGCACAGTGAAAACGCGGCCATCTGAAAGCCAGGAAGAGAACCCTCGCAAGAACCCAACCATGCTGGCATCCCAATCTTCAACTTCCAGCCTCCAGAACTGTATGAGAAAATACATTTCTGTTGTTTAAGCCACTGTCTATGGTACTTTGTTATGACAGCCAAAGCTAAGACAAAACTCATAGAAAAAAACTTCCAGAAAATGATTTTCCCTCCCTCCAGGTAGCTAAGAAAACAGTTGCAACTTCTTGCCCTCATAGCACTTCTCATTTTCCCAGTTCTTGTATCCACTGGCTTGCTCAGTGTCTGTCTCCCGCAGGTGTCATGTCTGCAGAGGGCCTGGGGAGCAGAGATGTTGCTTATCTTGTTCATGCTGCAGCTTCACCTGCAACAGTGCTTGGGCCATAGCAAGCACTTGGTATGTTCAGTTGTTGTTGGGAAGGGGTAGAACAAGGAGAGGCCAAGATCCAGAAGTAAAAGGCTGATACCTCCCTCAAGGCAGTAGCCAGCAGCTGGGACTTCAATCCTAATGGGGGAGGCAGCTGAACTCCAGAGGCCTGTGCCCTCCCTTCCTTTCCTCCCTGGCCTGGTATCCTGACTTAAACCTCTTTCCCTATCAAACTTTAAAACTGGGGGCAGAAGCGGATCTTAGAGATAATCAAATGCAAAACCTTTGTTTTACAGATAAGGAATCTGACATTCAAGGAGGTATTCAGTAGAGTTAACATGTAGTAAAATCGAGTTTTCCTCTTTTGTTTCCTTAGTCCTGAAAGATGCTGATGCCTGGCATGATGCCTGGCAAAAGACTTACCTTCCTTTCCATGACTTCTGTACCAAATTTGTCAGTTGAAGCTTATCTATTTCTGCTATCTTGAGAGTGAGAATTCTTGATTGAGACTGCAAATAAGTAAGCACCCACCACATGCAATTCCGGACTGAGTACACAGAAAGGATAGCCAGTTCTTGACTCAGAAGATGCATTAGTGTGACTGATGCCTAAGGAATTTGTCCTAAATCTTGTTTTAAAAGTATTTCCATTAGCTTTTTAAAACGTACTATTAAATGCCACAACCCCCTACCCTTACTATGCTTGTTTTTCAAAATAGTGCTTTTTACTAGACAAACCCTAAAAAAGCACTTGGAAACTTAATGATGAGAAATGGCCCTTACAAAAATAGCTGGCTTCCTCTGGGTCCAAATGCTGTTGATTAGGACCAGGGCAAATGCCCATTGTACTCAATCTTCCTGACAACTCATTATTCCATACTGAAGAAATGGCTTCTCGAAGCAAAACCTGCTCTTTCAAGATCATAAAATTCCCCATATCATTTGAGTTAAAATGAAACTAAGCCATTTGAGTTAGATTACCCAGATTTATATCTTTAGCTATTAAAAACTGACAGGCAAGCTAGGCAGTTATGGATACATCTTCTGGTAACTGAGGATTATTTGCCAAGGTCTCTTACCTGCAAGACTGTAAACATGCATGTTGCTCCTATCCAGACAAAAGCTTTAGTAGGATACTAGTGGCCTGTTAGCTGCCAAAGTCACCTCACTGCTCCCGATAAAATCTCTGCACATCCTCTTTGATGTAATCCACAGATGCCTAACCCAGCCTAACAACTAAATTACTCACAAGCCTTTCCTGCCACAAATCTTCTTAAGTATTCCTTGAAGTCTAATTTGTATCATTTTCAAACCTACATTCTAGTATTTTCTCTCAAATTGCCAACACATAGTTAACGGCAGAAAAACATAGTATTTTTGTTGATTAGTTCAAGATGACAGACATTCCACAACAGAAGATAGCATTTTTAATGAAAGAAAAAAATGTGGCAGGACCGGAAATAAGCCAATAACCTACTAACCTTATTAAATCTCTCATGTTATGGTGAGAAAACAACTGAAGACTGTTCAGCTAATAATAGAAACCCATCAAAAACAGTACCTTCTGGTCAATCCCCTCCCAAGCCACTGTTCTGAACCTAACAAATAGTGCTTTCTGTCTCAGATAGGAGCTACTTCTTTATCTGAAAACTTAATACTGCAGGGAGTGCTCAGTGGGGAGAGCATTTGGAAGGGGATATTGCAGAAAGGAGAGGAAGGTATTGCTGACAGCAAGGCAAAAGGTAGAGACCAAATGGCAATTATCAGAGGGTCCTCAGCCCTTCTACCCATATTAATCACATGGCTTTCCTTATCTCTCCATCATAGATGAAAACACAAGTTGGGAATGTGATACATTTGTGTTTTGAGTACAGCATATTTTGTGAAAAGCACTTGATTTCAATAAGATTTTCATTTTTAACTCACTTTTAAGAACTTTCAATACATAACCAGCTATGAAATGACATCTCTGGCAGCTGTAGTAGCAAAAAGCACTGGACTTCTAGGGAAGTAGGGAGTAGGGAAGTTCTAGGCTGGAGTCCCAGCTCTGGCAGTGAGCAAATCTTGGTCACTGCTTGTCTGAAAAATGGGGGGAAATGGGGATAACACCTGCATCCTTGGGCTGCTGTAAGCATTCATTACGCATGTGAATGACCATTGTAAACTGCTGCAGGAGTGCCAAGGACTTCTATTTACAAACATTGGCCTGGAGATTTAGGGTTTTTCTTCCAATACACTTCAAAATTTATAACTTTAATATGCTATCTGAAAAGCATATAGTAGGAAGAATCCAAAGTAACTGAACAGTTTCATTCAAGACTCCAGTAAAAGGACGAATTGTAACATGGCTTTTCTTAGAACAGAGACAGCCTATCATCATTGGAAATCTTCTCAATGGGTCAATTTGTCTCAAAGTTTTTGTTTGTCCATTTCCACATATTATCCACCCCCGCCCAGAGTCAGAAATTCTGTAAATTTGGCTTTACCAGGCAAATGTGGTTATTTATGTGTTTGTTCAGAAACTCAAAACAATCTCCAATGTAAATGCAAAGTATTTAACATAAACGGATTTTTAAGGGTTGGTCCCCTTCCAACAGAGGACAGGCACATTCTGGTAGAGGCAGCAACAAGATGGAAAGGCCTCTTGAGAAAACATTACAACTGGGAGATAATTAATATCTAACGTTTCTAAGCAGAATTTTAAAGCCTCACCTTCCCTTCCCTCGATCTGTTTAGGAGGAAAAAAAATAACGAGTAACTATCAAAATATGCTTTTTATTCAAAGAAATAATAGATTTCTTTGGAGACCCGTGTCCTTGGGTTATTGGGGTCAGAAAGTTAATTTGCTCTTTGCTAGAAAGGGTGCTATAACTATTGGTTTACGTTTATTTTAAAGACAGAGATTTCTAAAACCCCAGAGGGACTTTTGAGGCCAATACTTAGAGGCATGGATTACAATGTGGGCTAAAGAAATACTAAGTCTGGGTTTCCTTTCATCTTTTAGGCTGCCCTGTTCATTTCTTCTACAATCATAAAACAACCACATAAAGATGAATGCCTTTTATTATGAAAATTGCTGTTACATTACAGCCAACATTCCAAAACAGTATTTTAATAAACACTTGTCTTGATTATAAAGTAGAGCAAAAACCATGATCCTTTTTCAAAAGTAATTAACATCTTCTCAGTCACTTAACACAAATCAGGACACTCTGTATGCTCACCACGGTGTAGGAGATGAGATGAGGAAGAGCACCTATGTTATTCAAAACAGCTACTAGTGTTACTTATACAGTATAAACCAACAACTTACAATAGGGCATTTTTTAAAAAGCAAAACACTGAAATGTTGAGGTGCCACAATACTTTTGAGATGGAAAAAGCCAAAGCTTGTTTCCTTTTTCTTCCCATCCTGAGTTCAGTGTGAAGTATAGGGAAGAACAACACCAGGCTGGGGATCGATGCAGTTTTTTGCTTATTTCCCAGTTGTTAGTCCTGCTCGAAAACACAGCCTGCATGCAAAACTTCCTCAGGCTGCCATTCACAGGCCTTGGAATACAGCGTTTGCACATGGACAAATGAGGTTCCTAGCAGCTCAGAGTCGGTGTCTGAATTCCAGTGTATTCACTCTCTGTAGCATGATAAAGAAACCAAAAACAAAATTCCTATGTTCTTTTAAGTTAAGAGGCAGAAGACTCCTATTTGGATGCATTCCACATTTTGGGGACAGAATGTGGTAGTTTTGCACAGAACCTCTCCCATCAAGAAACAGCTTAGAAAAAGTTAAAACTGCAGTTTAAAAGTTCCTTTCTCCCCTCCCTTGGCAAAGAGACATGATGCACACATGACTGGAAGGGACTCAGGAAGGCAGAGTGTGGCCACTATAGTTTCAAGTACGATCTGGTTCTTGCAAACGGATCGGGGTAACTGCAGGTGGATTCAGGCAAACCAGAAATTCAAAAATATCCATCAACTTCTTTAATATAAGAAGCTCTACTGGAAGCTTTTCTTACAACTTCATGTAGCTGACATACCCTTTACTGTAGGAAGGGATATCCTCTTCTTTTTTCAAATAGTAGATAAATGGTATTTTTGGAACTTATCATAGGCCAAGAACTGGTCTAATCTGATTTTTTACCTCCCTTTCAATCCTCCCTTTAAACTATACAGTCCTTTTTTCTGGGCTCAGGGCTCTTATTATTGGTAAGGCTCATTCTAACAACCTAAATAACACAAAGTCCTTTCCAATTTCAACACTGTTCTTTTTTGCCACTACAGGAAGACTCCAGATGGTGTTATAACACTCTGTAGTAGATAATCCAGTTTTCAAGCTGTTATGCAGCCTAGTTAAGCTTCTCACGCTGAATCTGGTAGTAACATGCCTGGAAGAAAAGTTCAAAATAATTTCAAATTCACTTTTAAAGAAATTACATAAAGAGAGCAATGCATATGGGACTAAAGAAACAAAATCCCTTATGAACAAATTCAGCTGATGGCCCAACAGATTTAATTGATTTCACTTTTCCCTGTTCCCTTCTAGTTCCCCTATCTAGTGGCTGTCTTTTGCCTACTTGTAATTAGTATAGACAAAATTTTTTCATTTCCCGTCTTATTCTAAAACAAAGTTTTTTTACAAGCTAGCTAATATTCTTCACATGCAGAGACACCACAATTTGCCATTACTGATTGGACATTTAGAGTATACCAATCATTAAAAGGTACAACTCTAATTAGAATCACCTAGTATGATTAATAAATATACAGATTAAGCATCATTGCAGACCTGGGGAGTCATAACTTCCAAGAATGCATTTTTAAGAAGCACCCTGAATTATGAGTTTCCAGGTATGGGAATTACTCATACCCCAATGAATAACACATCCAGATAACATGTAACATTTTCCATTCTTTAGTTTCTTAGGATAAATCCCCAGGAGTAGAACCATTGAGTCAAACTCCACATTTTTTGATGTTGTTGATATCTATGTTAGTAACAATTGCTTTCCAAAAGGGTAATGGCTACTTACCCCATTATCAGCAATGTGGGAATAATAATGACTTCACTATAACCCCATCAGTAATTTTAAAATATTCTTGATAATTTAACAGCACAAAATGGTACCTTATTTAAATCTGCAGTACTACGATTTTCAGTGAGGTTGAGTATTTTTCTACATGTAAACTTACTAGTTCAGTTTCTTCTTTGGTGATCTGTTTAGAGATACTCTTCAAATAACATAAACACTAATAATCTAAGTCATCTGTGGCCAATATTTTCCCCAGTTTCTCCCCCTTTTCAGTTTATTTAATAGAAGTGTTAATGGTAGGCCAGGTGCAGTGGCTCACGCCTGTAATCCCAGCGTTTTGGGAGGCCAAGGCGGGTGGATCATCTGAGGTCAGGAGTTCGTGACCAGCCTGGCCAACCTGGTGAAACCCCATCTCTAATAAAAATACAAAAATTAGCCAGGTGTGGTGGCAGGCACTTGTAATCCCAACTACTTGGGAGGCTGAGGCAGCAGAATCACTTGAACCTGGGAAGTGGAGGTTGCAGTGAGTCGAGATTGCACCACTGCACTCCAGCCTGGGCGACAGAGTGAGACTCTGTCTCAAAAAAAAGAAGCATTAATGGTATTTTAGTTGAAAAGTTTAAATAGTTAACCTAGGCCAGAAACCTGACATTGAATTCTAATTATTTTTCTTATTTTAATTTACCTGTCTTTCCTTCTCTCTTCCTTTCTCTATATTTAAACCCCAAAGCATCTATATAATTTGCTATTCTACCCTCCCTCCAAAACTGCTAATAAGCTATCCAATACTTTGTTTTACCATTTGTTAAATAATTCCTCTTTTCCATTTTGGTTTGGTGTTTCCACTTTCATGTGAAGTTTTTATTATGATGTGTTTATATGGGAGCTATCCTTTCTATTTAGGTAATTGTGTATTCCTGTGACAGTCACATACTATTTTATCTTCATTATTGTAATTTTATAAATTTTACTAACTGGAAGAGTAGGTCTATTCTTTCTCATTTTTCACAAGTGTTTTTGCACTTTCTATCTGCTGTTTTTTCAATAAACTTTAGAGTGATTCTTCCAAATTCCAAGAAAAATCAAGGCAGGAAACAAATGACTTCTAACAATCTCTCCAGGCCACCCAGATCAAAGAAGCTCATTTGTAATCTATTGGTTACAGTAAATACAAGGCAAAGAAAGAAGATGGAATTCAAATTCATTATTTACATACTGCCTTCTGTGTTTTACCCTGTTCCATTGAATAGCACTCCTGTTGGAAACTTTCTTGGACACTAAGAATCCTTTCTGTTTCTTTTTTAGAATTACAATTATTTATATAAATGTAAACATTTATAACAGTTTGATCAATTTACAAGGAGGATTAGATAATGAAGAATTTGCTTTAGTATTTTGAGGAACAACTGGCTTATCCTACTTTAATATACTATATAATGTTTTAAAGTGTAGAACAAAATGTGCTCTAAAGGCATTTAAGGTTTGCATTAAACTTTTATACAAAAAAAGTGGTTAATGGCATTTATAATATGGTAAATGAAAGACAGATATGAAGATAAGAAAGTATTAAATAATAACTATACTCACCTTCAAGGTGGTGAACATTATACCCTGTTCCCCATGCTGAAGATAGGGGTCCATTAGATCCTCAATGAGGTGTACCTCAGAGCCTAAATTCCTAATCCTGCCCCAGAGAGAAAAAGATGCTGAGTTATTTTCACTTACATGTCCATTCTCCTTTTGAATCTAGTTGATGGGAAAAAGAAAGAACAGCTCAATAAAAGGGTAATGTCACAGTGGAATGGGTTAATCGATTTTTTTCTAGTGGAAGAGCGTACTCCTGCTGTCAGTTCAGAAAATGCAAGCAGCAGACTTTTAAAAATAACGACTCACTAATAACAAAGTCATAAAACAGTTACCTGGCCCGTAGCACCACATATAAGAAAACAGGAAACAAGTCATCCATGGACCACAAGAAGTCTTCGTGGAGTGACGCCAGGACACTCTGAGAGATCTCCTCAAAAGTCTGCTGGATGACCTTAAGTTTGTCTGATGGGGTAAATGTTGTGCTGTTACAGAAACAATGACAAAAAGACATCCTATAATTTTCTTAATAAAGCCATTTGATCGTGCTTTTTTGACAATATTCCCTCCTGGGATTCACATGCCTTAACCCGGACACTTAGGCATTATGAGTCGTTGGAAAGGATGACTTTGTACTCCCATGGTGCTATGAGAAAAGTAGCCTCCAACTGTCTACGATTCATATATTGTTTCCTTTTACCCACGTGAAATCTCATTCTCCTAATATATGCTCTTTTCTGAATGAGAAATTTGGTTAATTTCCAATTGGCTAAAGATGTGATTATATGGATAAATTTCTGGCTTGGCTCTCTCCTACTTTTGAAAATGCAAGGTCATTTTAGAGTAAAAGATAACCCAAGGGTCTCATTCTGATTTCTGATTTCCAGATTGAGTTTGACACCATCAGCATATAGAATGGGGATGCTTAAGGCTTAGGTAAAGATAAGATCATATTAATAATATCTTAATAGACCAAGCACTACTTTGATTTGTATGGCTTTTCAACAAATCAGAGATTACCTGATCTGCTGCAGACATTCTACTGCTGAGGCAAAACAAGCATCTTTCGTGGTTGGCAAAACCTGCAAAAAAGAGAGTGAAGGTCAAGGAGGAAAACTATTTTCTGCAACAACAGAAATAAATGATACTGATGTCAGAGTGCAGGTCTTTGGTAATAACAGATGCAAACACAAGCTTGGGTACTGTTCTATCAAAGTAAAATGAAAAAGTTTTGCTATCTCAAATCCTTCCCATTAGAGAAAAGCATATTTGCTGAGGAAAAGAAAATCTACTATACCTTTTTACTCTCTCCAAGGATTGACAAGGTTGCTGGCCAAAATTTCCTATAATGGAATCCATAAATTATTAATATAAGTTGTTACTTATGGTAAACAAAATCCCATAAAAATAGTTGACAGCTATATTGGCTTCCTTGTCCCCATTAAAAAGAACTGCTCCACAATAGGTTAAGTTTTTATAAACATTCCAGAAGTGATTTAAGAGTTTTTATCATCTCCCTAAGGGATTTGTCATTCTATATCCCAATAACCTACACGTTACAGATATTACCAAATATTTTTCCTTCACTCAGTTTTATCTCATTTCTACTACTGAATTATTCCACTGAAAACAATTAAAGCACAAAATAAAAAAAAAGCACAAAAATAAGAAAATATAAAAATTAGCTGGGTGCGTTGACACAGGCCTGTAATCCCAGCTAGCTGGGAGGCTGAGGCACGAGAATCACTTGAACCTGGGAGGTGGAGGTTGCAGCTAGCCAAGATGGTGCCACTGCACTCCAGCCAGGGCAACAAAGCAAGACTCCGTCTCAAAAAAAAAAAAAATTGAGGCTTATTCACTTTTCCTGGTAGCACAAATAGAGATTGGGGAGGTGGAATCAGCTTTATCACTGCCCTAGAAAGAAAACATAATAATTTAGTATTCCCTGGATAGCAAGCAATAATACCTTCTAATAAAAACAGCAGGGCTGGGCACAGTGGCTCACACCTGTAATCCCAGCACGTTGGGAGGCCGAGGCGAGCAGATCACTTGAGGCAAAGAGTTCGAGACCAGCCTGGCCAACATGGCAAAACTCCATCTATACTAAAAATACAAAAATTAGCTGAGCATGGTGCCGTGCGCCTGTAATCCCAGCTACTTGGGAGGGTGGGGCATGAGAATTGCTTGAACTTGGGAGGTGGAGGTTGCAGTGAGCTGAGATTGCACCATCGCACTCCTGCCTGCATGACAGAGTGAAACTCTCTTTCAAAAAAAGAAAAAAAAAAAAACACTTCAAAACCTTTAACTTAAAAATTGCAAATGGAGAGGGAGGAGAGAAAAGAAGAGAAGGAAGAATGCCAAAGATATGTATTCTGCTCTAAAGAGCTATAAAATACCAGGCAAAATAGCTCACACTTTATATATATATATATATATAACTATACATAATATATAAAATACATTACTAATATATAATAAATATATATTACTATATATATGAAAACATAATAAAAAACACATTCCAAAGAATCAGCAGGTTTCATACTCATCTCCAAATATTCTCAGAAATAAAGATTATTAACTATCACTATTTTGTTAAAGAAGACATATGCAAAAAATAATTACAAGCCATATATATAATTAGATATCAAAGTGCCAAATTTCCAATAATGCAGTTTGCATTTTAAATTAAAACCATTTGGTTGCGCTTGTAACTACTACACTTACCTCTGCACCCCAAGAAAGCCCAGGAGAGCAATATCTGGCTGCTTATTTAGTCGAAGGACACATTCCCAGTAAATGTCTTCCTCGCGATCATTATCCAAAGCATAAAGCATAAACAGCGGTGGGTAGAGCCGAGGTAGCAGCACAGGAAGCAATAATCCAGAACTCGTTACTACATAACTACAAAATAATGGAGTGGGAGAAAAGGAGCATTTTTCATATTAAAATTGAATACAGAATCCAAGGTAGAGCTTCAGTTTCAAAAAGTCAAAAGTAGAGATGGGAAGTTTTAAAGAAGTTATAATATTACTCTGCTCTTTACATATGGAGTTGATATGAGGACATTATCTATAATTTTGTCTTAGAGGAAACTGTGAATTCTTTTCATGAATTAAAAATCTCACTGAAAACCTACATTGTTTCCATTTTGAGGCTGATTTCTCTGAGGTTATTCTAGGACAGTGTGATGTTACTTCCTTTGCTAAGCAGCCTTTGTGCTCAGATCATCTGTGGTTGCTTTTTCCTGGGGTATGGCTAATAGTACTTGAGAGAACTAAGAGGGACCTCAGAGGGGGCACCTACCCAGCTACATTTTTTTTTTTTTTGAGACAGGTCTCACTTTGTCACCCAGGCTGGAGCGCAATGGTGCAGTCACAGCTCACTGCAGCCTTTAACCTCCCAGGCCCAAGTGATCCTCTCATCTCAGCCTCCCACGTAGCTGAACCCGTAGGTGTGTGCCACCATGCCCTGCTAATTTTTTTTATTTTTGTAGAGATGGGGTCTCCCTATCTTGCCCAGGCTGCTCTTGAACTCCTAAGATCAAGCAATCCTCCCACCTCAGCCTCCCAAAGTGTGGGATTACAGGTGTGAGCCACTGTGGCTGGCCCCAACCCTCCTGGCCCCAACCATATCATTTTAGAAATGAGGAAATAGATCTAGAGAACACACTTTCTCGCTGGGACTCTTTGAGTAAGATCATCTAGTCACCATTCCCTTTCTTCACTGTCCCCACCCAACTCCATTTACCCTGGCTCTGGTGATTCAGATCGGGAATCTGACTTCCCAGTGCAAAAAGACTTCCTTTCGGTTGGCAGAGGAGCAGAGAGAGGAATTGTGCTGCCTTCTTCAGGCAGCTCAGGAAATAAGAACCTAAGGAAGAATAAAAAATATAATTATACAATTATACCTCTAGGGGGGTTGAAAAGCATAAAAACACATTTCCATTAGTTATGAGAGCAAGCTTTATTATCAACTAAGTATTTTAGTTCCCTGAGAAAACTGATGTTTCTAACAGGATAAAATTAAGAATGCAGCTAATGAATAATACCACTACAAAATCTTCACGTGCTATGATTTTCTCCTGTCTAGTTACCAAGGAATGGAGAATTCTGATCTATATGAGATATGTGTTCCTTACTGGCAAATCTCATCTGAGGTCAATTTATATTAACTCTGAGCAAGGACCACTCTTCTACAATATAAGCAAACACCGACAGAAATTAAGTGTCCAACATTAAGGGAAAAAATGATTAATTATAGAAGACACAATGTAAAGTTTTATTTTATTTTTATAGATTCAGGAGGCACATATGTAGTTGTGTTGCACGGATATATCAGGTAGTGGTAAAGTCTGGGCTTCTGGTGTACCCATCACCTGAACAGTGAACACTGTATCCTATCAGTAAGTTTTCAACCCTCACCCTCCCACACACACTCCCCGCTTTTAGAGTCCTCAGTGTCTATTATTTCCCTCTGTACTCAACCTAAAATTTAAAAATGTGTTTTTAAAACTTGCTGAAAATTAATTTTTCAAATGATCAAGGGGATAAATTGGTGAGGAATTTTTTTTCCTGGGCTTTGAGTTCTGCCATAGATTTTATCTCTGACTTCTTGTATGCTAGTGTACTCTACCATAAATAAGTTTATTTTCTCTTATTTTTACGGACTTAAATTTTGACCCTTTAAAGGCAATATGCAGTCTTCTCTATTTTTGTAGACTTACATCTTGCACCTCCATCTGCCCTAATTGTATAGTTGAAAAAAACTAAAAAAGGTCAGGACACTTACTTTCATTATACTCATCTAGCTAATGTCAGAGCTAGCCCAGGCTAGTGATCTTTTTAATAGACCACACTTCTCCCTCAAAACCTGAAACATTTCCAATGTTGAGGCAAACAATATATGGAAGTTCTGGGACAAATTTACAAACTTTTGTATAATTATCTCACTATAGTATTTACTTGTTGGCTTCAACTCAGTAAAAGATCTTATATCTCACAAGCTTAAATCTGTTTGTTGCCTGGAACTCTCTTCCCAAAGATGCTTACTGTCTCATTTAATTGCCTTCTTCGAGTCTCTGCTCAAATACTACCACCGTATTAGTCAGTCTGCTCTGACCTTCTCTTCAAAATAATAGCATCTCACATCTAGTACTCTTTCCCTTTATTTTTCTCCATAGTGCTAATCACTATCTGACATACTACATATATTTTTTATGTTTACTCTTTTCCCCCATTAGAATGTAAGCTCCATGACAGCAAAGACTGTTTGTCTTTGTTCACTGATAAATCCCTTGAGAGCCTAGAATGATGGCTATTACATAGAAACGCTCCATAAATATTTGTTAAATAAATGAACATATGTGATACTGTTGCCAAAGGACAAGACACAAAAACTCAAGGGCAAAACTTCATATTAAACTTTGTCTACTCTGTGGTTGGGTTTTAGATACATGATTTTGCCTAGAGACTGAATCTAAATAAGACGACTACTATACTTCATACCAAAATTAGATTTAAAAACCCCAAACATTTATTTTAGCTTTACTTAATAAGACATAAAAATAAATAAATAACAATAGCTAAGGTTCATCTTTTTTATGTTTATAGCTTACACATACATTTAAAACATGTTTTACTTAATCTATTAAAGGACTGTGGCATAAAACTATTTTCTTGATGATTCAGGGTGAAACTACCCAAGCACTGGTATAAAATAGTATTCCATAGCCCGCAGACTTTAGTGAAAAGCTCTCTTACCTCACCAGCTGGAAAATTCGCTTAAGATAGGACTTAATCTCCTTTACAGCCTCCTGCAATAACCTGCGGTTGGCTCCTACGCCCACGTATGTCATTCTATACACTGCAACCAGTGTCTCCACAAGCCTGCCCAGGGGGTGCAGAGGAGTGTCACAGGCCTGAGTAGGAAAAGAATCAATGAAGTCAGTTGATGTGCATTAACAGCAGAAACAATCCATCAACAAGAAACAACTTCATAAATGACACACAATTGTCAAAATGTCAAGAGTCAATTTTGGGACCAGGAATATTCAAATACTTTAATTTTTTTGAAAGTACTGTCTACCCCAATTATATGAAGCTGGAGTTCCTAATCTTGATCAAAGAATCTCCTTAACATTTTGGGCAAATAGCTTTGGAAGTACTGATATGGAATACCACTAAAAGAAAGATTCTGCTGGATGTGGTGGCTCATGCCTATAGTCCCAGCTACTAGGGAGGCTGAGGCAGGAGGATCAATTGAGCTCAGGAGTTTGAGGCCAGCCTGAGCAACACAGTGAGAACCCCCATATCTAAAAAAAAAAAAGAATACAAAATTTTAAAAAGATTCAAATATACTTTAAACTTCACAAAAATGATAGAAAATGTTACCTTGGAGAAAACTAAACACTGACTGTTGATGATACTCTGAAACAGTCATCCTTCAGTTCCCCTGACTTCTCAGAATACTCCTTCCTGCACTTCCCATCAATATACATCACACTTTAAATTGTAGCTGGTCTTACAAGTTTTCGAAGGAAGCAAAGACCCTCTCCAGGGGTGAGGGCAGCATGCTTTACTTACACAATCTCTAGTTTGCTAATGTTATTAACAAAAAGCAATTTAAAACTCTAATCTTATTTCTTAAGAACCCCCTTGAGTGCCTTAAAAAACTTTAAAAAGTTCTATCATAATAATGGGACAATCTTTAGGTAGAAATGTAATCTTGGTAGTTTGATAATTAACAAAAGAAATGCACAGGATGCAAAAACAGGATTAGAATAACATTAAGCTGTGAGTCTATCTGAATGATATATTGTGGTAGGTGAATCATTAATTCACAAGACCAATGTAATTTTTACTCTAGTTTACCTTTATTAAATATTTCCTGATGTCATCATATTTCTCCACAGAGAAGGCACCAACATGCTGTGGAATGAATTCCAAACTCTCTAGTGTCTGAGTCTGTGAACGACTCAGTATTTCTGGACTATAAAAAGGGAAAGAAAAGTCTGTTGTATTTCACATCAAGAAAGCAAGATACGTGTAAATACTCACATGAAACACAATCACTAGCTCCAGTCAAAGTGGAGCATCCAACGTAGTACTAAACCCAACGAACTCAGAAATCATCACGATCCTGCTATTAGGTACTCAGTTTACATAACATTCATTCAAAAAATCAGGTAGTGTTACTTTGTACCATAAATTAATGAAGATTCTACAATAAAGATTCATTCTTCATTCTACAATGAAGATTCTACAATAAATTAATGAAGATTCTACTCCAATCTAAACCATGGTGTTGGAAATAATATGACATTAGCTTGAAGATAAATACAATATTAGCTTGAAGGTGATAGACCCGTTGGTGACAACAGAAAAATGGAATAAAAGGAATAAAAGAGGGAAGGGAGTTAAGGAAAAAGGGAAATAAGTCAAAGGGCAAAGGAAGAAATGAAAACAAGGTTAAGAAGCAAGGAGATAATGACACTCCAACAGGTGACAATGTAAGCACATAACGGGTAAACAGAAACTGGATGAAGATACTAAGAGAAAACACACGCTAGTAATCAACTGAAATTTTTGGTAATAGTGTTCTATCATTAGATGACAACCAATGAGAAACTGAAAACTGTGCATAATCATTATTATTAGAGATTTTAGATAAACATATAAGATCTTTGTGGTAGCAACATAATTTTATATAAAGAGTTCATTCATTTTCACTTCTCAGAAACACCTAACTAACAACAGTTAACCCAGGTTAACTGAAGGGCTAAAGTCTTAAGGTCGAACTGACAGGCTGTACTAAGCTGACCATCTGTATCACGCACAAGGGGCAGTCAATGGCTTTCATCAATTCTGGGAGTTTCCATTTCTTCTACTGATAGAGTAGAAGGTAACAATTATGAACTTCATGAATGAAATACTAAAATCAATTCCTATTTATCCCAAATATAGAAAAAAAAATTACTTCTTTCTACATTTAATTTCTTGAAACACATACACGAATTTCAAGCAAGCAAAAATTATACTATGGTTTACTTTAAGTATCAATTTTGGAGATACTCAATTAGATAAACTCTAAACTAATCTCTCCAGGCTAGAATAACAATTAGTATTTGTTAGACTTGACTGTGAAATGTTTAAAGTTCCTGAAGTATCTTTCAACCTCTGGAATTTAATTTCTATGTAACTATACTTTAGTATATTAAAATTATTTGAATACTGGTAATTTATTTAAAGAATTTGGTAACTTTTAGCAAACTAGAACATTTAATTATTCAGAACAAACATTTACATTCTGAATAAATGGATACTTGCTCAATTTTTCTTCAATTCCCTTTAGAAAGCAACTGACATGTGGAAATGAAGACCAGCATAAAGCTCATTTAAAAATTAACTGTATGTAGCTACACGCACAGATTAAAGTATGCTCCTTGATATTTTAACAACGAAGGCACAGCTCAAACAAACCATTATCTAGAATTAAACTCAAGAAAGTCACAGTTAATTAGGAAGTTTTGCTGCAGGGATTAGTAAATTCTTTAGGTCCAAATGCTAAGCAATGCTTGTGGGAGTTACTGGTCAAGTTAAAGAAGAAAGGCAGATGGAGAAAAGCAGGAGAAAAGAAAAAAAAAAAGAAAAGAAGGTGAAAAAGAAAATTTTAAAAAGGAGAAAAAGAGAGAAATGAACAAGTACATCTGTAACTTTTCTTTCAGTATTTTGAAAATGTTGGGCCACTTCCTTCTGGCTTCCAAGGTTTCTAATGAGAAATATGCAGTCATTTGAATTGCTGATTTCCCATTATTTCACTCTAACTGCTTTCAAGATCTTTGTCCATGAATTTTAATATGTGTCTATACATGGTTATCTGTGGTTTTTCCCAAGATGGAGTTTGTTCAGCTACTTGAATCTATGGGTTTCACGTCTTTTTACTAAACTTGATAAGTTTTCAACCATTATTTCTTCACAAAATGTTCCATCCCTCATTCTTTCTCCTTTTCTTTTCTTTTTTTTTTTTTTTTTTTTGAGATGGAGTTTTGCTATTTTTGCCCAGGCTGGAGTGCAATGGCGCTATCTCGGCTCACTGCAACCTCCACCTTCCGAGTTCCAGCGATTCTCCTGCCTCAGCCTCCTAAGTAGCTGGGATTCAGGCCCGGGCTAATTTTGTATTTTTAGTAGATATGGGGTTTCACTTTGTTGGCCAGGCTGGTCTCAAACTCCTGACCTCAGGTGATCTGCCTGCCTCAGCCTCCCAAAGTGCTGGGATTACAGGTGCATGCCACCATGCCCAGCCCATTCTTTCTCCTTTTCTTCTGGAATTCTAAGGAAACAAATTTAGACCCACAAGTCCATGAGGCTGTGTTCACTTTTTTATTTTTTCATGTTTTTTCTCTCAGTTGTTTAGATTTGATAATCCATACTGATCTATCTTCAGGTTCACTGACTCTTCCATTGCCATCTCTATTCTGCCACTGAGTTCATACAATAAGTGATTTCGGTTAGTGCAGTTTTCAACCCCAAAATTTTGATTTGGCTCTTCTTTATATCTTCTGTTTCTTTGCTGATACATTTGTTCTAATATTTATTTCAAGGGTGTTTGTGATTGCACATGTGAGTATTTTATAATAGTTGCTTTGAAGTTCTTGTCAGACAACTTCAACATCTATGTCATCTGTTGATATTTATTGATTCTCTTTCCTGAAATAAATTGAGATTTTCATGGTTCTTTCATTGCTGAGTAATTTTGGTTAATGTCTTGGATATTTTGAGCATTATAAAACTCTGGGTCTTGTTTATATCCTATGGAGAATGTTGACATTCATAAAACAGTAAACATAGCAGGCTTGAAACTGCTATCTTTAGAAGCACCTGAGCTAGGTGTGGTAGCTCACGCCTGCAATCCCAGCACTTTGTGAGACCGAGGCAGGAGGATTTCTTGAGGACAGGAGTTCGAGACCAGCCTGGATAATATAGCAAGACCCTGTCTCTATTTATAAAAATGAAATAAAATAAAAAAGAACCTGCTTATAAGGTTGACCCTTGGCTGGCACTTGGGAATTAAGCTTCGTAAAAGTTCCATATACTGACAAAGGTGTTTTGCTTTCCTTAGATTAACAATGTGATTTATGGTGAACATCTGCTTTCCTGTAAGCTGGGACTGTGGAATTTGGCAACTGCCAAGCACAGGGTGCCTATGTGACCCGCCCCCAGTATAAACCCTGGGCACTGAGTCTCTAGTGGGCTTCCCTGGGCAGAAACATGAGACACGTGTCGCTGCATTTTGCTGCAGGGAAAACTGTGTTGTGTGTGACTCATCCCAGAAAGGAGAGATCATGGAAAGCTTACACATGGATTCCTCCAGACTCTACCTGTGTCTTTTTCCCTTATGATCTGGTTGTGCGTCCCTACCATGTTGCTGTAATCTTACTTGTGAGTACAACTATATGCTGAGTCTTGTGAATTCTTCCAGCAAATCACTGAATGTGTAAGTGATATTGAGAATCCCTAAAACAGCAGATATTTTTGCTTTAGTCTCCTGTGGGCCATGGTGCCAATGCCAGTTCACTTCTCAAAGCCTTTGCATCCTTCCTGGGTTTGTTCTGTGAGTGTACAACTTAATGACTACTCTGGGACCTGAGTGGTCAACCTATGAGCTTGGTTCTCAAACTCTTTGGTACTAATTAGGATCAAATTCATACATGTGCAGGTCTAGGGTGAGCCCAGGAGTTCACAAACAACTTTATGGGCTTGTTTCCCAGAGCTCTTCTCTCCATCACATCCCCAGTATTTTCTGGTTCGCAGGCACCCCTTTTTAGGTCCTCTGGCCAAAAACTGCCCACTTCCGTGATTGTGCCACATCTAGGGACAGATGGTGGGAGAACAGAGAACAAAGCCAAAAATGCAATGGGGTTGGGGCTTGGCCTTCCCTTGAGCTAAGGAGCCACCAAAGGGGGAAGAAGATTCCACTCTCTCAAGAGTTTTGACTTTTGCAAGTTTCCTGTTCACGCCTGCTCCAGCTGCTACCATTACTGCCACAGAAGGTCCTGGAGGCTTGGGCATGAGAGAATAGAGAAAAAAGACAGAAAGAAAACTGAGTATATATCAACCACTCTGAGTTTTAGGAGTCCCTTTGTCACTCCTTGAGCCAGAACCAGAGGGATTTTTTCTGTATCCCTGTCTGTCTGCACCACAGTACTTGCTTTCACGTTTCAGGCTGCACTGAGTTCTGGCTGAGGGATATTGGAGCAAAACATCTAAGTAAACTCACCACTGGTTTTGTGGTACTTTGAATTCAGGTTTTCTTCCTCAATCTACTTGTTGATATTTACTTTTCAGAGTTCATAAATAACTGTCCATGTATTCTGTTCAGGTTTAACAGTTGAGTTCAACAGAAGATAAAGAAAGTGTGTTTTAATCTCTCTTACTCAGAAGCGAAGTAAATCATTAACTTTTAAATTAAATGTGGTGAGCCTTGACTACTTACTGGTCTTAAGTTTCATCTTCCTAACATGCTCTGCTGTATGTTGAGCAGGTGTTCACTCACCTGTCTCTGTGCTGGCGCCGACTGGTGGTCAAGGCCACAGCAATATTGTCCCATGCTTTCCAAACTTCCCCTTGGCCTGGGCCCTCACAGCCCAGTTGGCGCCAACATTCGTCAAACACCGCTTTCCACTTCTCATCAGCTGGCACTGCCAGGTTTCCTAGCTTCCTGCTAATAAAGTCATATCAACCTTTTATTAATCATTTCTTTTGTGCAAAATTGTTCCAAAGAACAGAAACTTTCTAACATACAACTGAGAATGCTTTTTTCGTGACCAAAACTGCCAAGACTGATGGTAATTCTATTTTTAAAACACTAAATGAAAATTTTAAAGGAATGTTTTTTAGCTAATTATTGTTTTTTGGATATTAAAGTGTATGGAATACTAAGTACAAAGCAAACCAATTGACTCTGCCTCCTATAATTCCACAGAATTAATTTTAAAAAATTGATTCCTGGCCAGGTGTGGTGGCTCATGTCTGTAATCCTAGCACTCTGGGAGGCCAAGGCAGGTGGAACACCTGAGGTCAGGAGTTCCAGACCAGCCTGGCCAACATGGTGAAACTCTGTCTCTACTAAAAACACAAAAAATTGGCTGGGCATGGTGGCTCACGCCTGTAATCCTAGCACTTTGGGAGGCCAAAGAGGGTGGATCGCCTGAGGTCAGGAGTTCAAGACCAGCCAGGCCAACATGGCAAAACCCCATCTCTACTAAAAATACAAAAATTAGCTGGGCATGGTGGCACATGCCTGTAATCCCAGCTACTTGGGAGGCTGGGGCAGGAGAATCGCTTGAACCCAGAAGGCAGAGGTTGCAGTGAGCTGAGATCACACCACTGCACTCCAGCCTAGCGACAGAGTGACGCTCCATCTCAAAAAAAAAAAAAAAAAAAAAAATTAGCCAGGCGTGGTGGCCCGTACCTGTAATCCCAGCTACTCAGGAGGCTGAGGCAGGAGAATCGCTTGAACCTGGGAGGTGCAGGTTGCAGTGAGCTGAGATCACGCCACTGCAGTCCAGCCTGGGTGACAAAGTGAGACTCCATCTCAAAAAAAAAAAAAAATTTAAAAATTAAAAAAAAATAAAAATAAAAATTGATTCCTGTTAGAACAAGGACTTTCTGAACCTTGCACATCTTATAATGAGAATTTAAAATGCATTACATACTGGGTTCTAAAAGACTCTAAGAATAAACATGGTACAGAAAACATATCCTTGGGAACAAAAACCTGAGGTGCTACCAAATATAATAATAAAATTAAAGCTGCAATCAATAAAGAAAAACAGACATATGCCAAAAACTGTCCACTTCTGTGATTGTGCCACATCTAGGGAGAGATGGTGGGAGAACAGAAAATAAAGCCAAAAATGCAATGGGTATAATATACTTAGATTTTGCCTTTTTTTCCTCATATATGCAGATTTTACTATTCCACTTGGGGTGTGTGTGTGTGTGTATGTTCTTTACTTTTCAAAATCAAGTTGTGTACAGATTCCATTTAAGAATGCTCTTTCAGGCTGGGCGCGGTGGCTCACACCTGTAATCCCAGCACTTTGAGAGGCCAAAGTGGGTGGATCACTTGAGGTCAGGAGTTCGAGACCAGCCTGGCCAACATGGTGAAACCCTGTCTCTACTAAAAATACAAAAAATTAGCCTGGCATGGTTGTGTGCACCTACAGTCTCAGCTACTTGGAAGCCTGAGGCAGGAGAATCGCTTGAACCCGGGAGACAGACACTGCAGTGAGCCAAGATCACGCCACCACACTCCAGCCTGGACGACAGACCAAGACTCCATCTCCCCTCCCACCTCCAAAAAAAAAAAAAAAGAACACTCTCTCACACATGGAACTTTCCTTTTAAACATCCATGCTTTAAGGCTTATAATCTAAACCAAGACTACAGACAAGACTACAGATTTAGTCATCTAAAGCAGTGTCAGTTGACAATTCAAGGAGGTTACATCTTGTTTAAGAAAAAAAAAAAAAAAAGACTTTGGCCAGGTGCAGCGGCTCATACCTGTAATCCCAGCACTTTGGGAGGCTGAGGCAGGAGGATCGCTTAAGCTCAGGTTCAAGACCAGCCTGAGCAATAGCAAGACCCAGTCTCTACAAAAATTAGAAAAATTAGCCGGGCATGGTAGCGGGTGCCTGTAGTCCCAGCTACTAGGGAAGCTGATGCGGGAGGATCACGTGAACCCAGGAGGTCAAGGCTGCAGTGAGCCATGATCATGCCACTGCACTCCAGCCTGGTGACAGAGTGACACCCTGTCTCAAAAAATAAAAATAAAATAAAATAAAAAAGAAGACTTTAAGAACTTGACTTTGCTTTTAAAATATTAACCAGCTTTGATAAAAGCAAGACAACTCCAAACATTCAATAATTAATCCAGAATTAACACTAGTTACTCACAAAACTTTAGGTCTGTCTTTATCACTCTCATATAGACTAGGTTTGAAGTAGGTTCCAGTGATTTTTATCCCAGATCCCCATTCTCCACTAAAATAACCTTCAATGTAGTCTCCATTTGGCATAGTCAGTGTTCCCTAGGTAAAGTCAGAGAATAAAATGTGGGGTTAGAGGAAATATATTCAATATTCATTTATTTATTTAGAGACAGAGTCTCACTCTGTTGCCCAGGCTGGAGTGCAGTGATGCGATCTTGGCTCACTGCAACCTCCGCTTCCTGGGTTAAAGTGATCCTCCTGCCTCAGCCTCCCAAGTAGCTGGGATCACAGGCGCCCGCCACCACGCCCAGCTAATTTTTTGTGTTTTCAGTAGAGACGGGGTTTCACCATGTTGGCCAGGCTGGTCTTGAACTCCTGACCTCAAGTGATCCACCCACCTTGGCCTCCCAAAGTGCTGGGATTACAGGCATGAGCTACCACGCCCAGCCCTCAATTTTTAAAATCAAGAGAAAAAAAGCACTAAATGGTTGTTTTCCTTTTTAACTTGCTCTTTACCAGTCTCCAACTCTTTAAAACTCAAACAAAATATGGGCACATGCATGTCTAAAAGAGTATATGAAAATAATCCATGGGTAAAAGAAAAAAACACACACACAGGGAAAAGTCAAAAATATTTTGAACTGTATAAAATGACCATACAATATATCAAAATTTAGGGGATGATGTAAATTACAAGCAGTGCTTAGAGGGAAACTTTTAGCTGTTAACACCTATCTTTTCAGGAAGTTCTCGAATCAGTAATGTAAAATTCCACCTAATAAAATTACAAAAGGAGGAACAAACTAACAAACTAAACCCAAAGCAGGAAAGAGGAGGGAAATGATAAAGATTAGTGCAAAAATCAGTAAATGAGATAGAAAACAAAAAATAAAGAAAAATCAATGAAACTAGAAGTTGCTTCTTTGAAAAGATATATAAAATTGACATTTAACTAGATTAATCAAGAAAAAAAAGAGAAAACATAAGTTTCTAAAATCAAGAGTGAAACAGGTTATTACTACCAGCCTATAGAATTAAAAAAGTTAGAAGGTGCTATTGTTTGGAAAGTGTGTCTCCTCTAAAATCTGTGCTGAAACTTAAACCCCACTGTGATGGTAGTAAGAGGTGGGGTCTTTTGGGAAGTGATTAGGGACAGTGTCCTCATGAATGGTGCAGTGCCTTAGAAAAGGGCCAGAGGGTTGGGCGCTGTGGCTCACGCCTGTAGTACCAGCCCTTTGGGAGGCCAAGGTGGGCAGATCATGAGGTCAGGAGTTCGAGACCAGCCTGACCAACATGGTGAAGCCCCGTCTCTACTAAAAATACAAAAATTAGCTGGGCACGGTGGCACGTGCCTGTAATCCCATCTACTCAGGAGGCTGAGGCAGGAGAATCGCTTGAACCCAGGAGGTGGAGGTTGCAGTGAGCTGACATCATGCCACTGCACTCCAGGCTGGGTGACAGACAAGACTCCGTCTCGAAAAAAATAAAAATAAAAATAAAAATAAAAATAAAAGTGCCAGAGGGAACTATCTTAGGCCTTTTTGCCCTTCCATCTTTTGCTATGTGAGGCCTCAGCCAAGAAGGCCTTCACCAAACAGGGAATGCTGTAGCCTTGATCTTCGACTTCCCAGCTTGCAAAATTGTGAAGAAATAAATTTCTCAGTCTATGACATTTTGTTAAAGCATCACAAACATACGAAGACAGAATGGAATACTAAGAGAACAGCTTTATGCCAACAAAGTAGATAACATAGAGAAATAGAAAAACTCCTAGGAAGACAAAAAGTACCAAAACTGACTCAATAAGAAATAGAAAATCTAAATAGACCTAAGGCAAGTAAAGAAACTGAGTTAGAAATTAAAAATTTTCTCACAAAGTAATGCTTAGGCCCAGAAGACTTCATTGGTGAATTCTCCCAAACATTCAAAGAAGAAATAATACCAAAGCTTCGCAAACTTTCAGAAAATAGGGGAGGAGGGAACACTTCCCAACTTGTTCTATGAGGCCAGAATTATCCTGATATCAAAGACAGACAAAGACATCACAATAAAAGAAAACTACAGACCATTACCTCTCATAAATATGAATGCAAAAATCCTCAACAAAATATTCGCATTAAATCCAGCAACACCAACATATAAAAAAAATTATACACCATGACCAAGTACAATTCATCCCAGGAAAGCAAGGTTGGTTTAACATCAGACAAGCAACCAATATAATACACCATATTAGTAGAATAAATGATAAAAACCACATGATCATCTCAACAGATAATGGAAAAGCACTTTAACAAAAAATGCTTTTCAGCCAAGCATGGTGGCTCATGCCTGTAATCCTAGCACTTTGGGAGGCCGAGGTGGGTGGATTGCTTGAGCTCAGGAGTTTGAGACCAGCTTGGGCAACATAGCGAAACTCTGTCTCTACAAAAAAAAAAAAAAAAAAAAAAAAATTAGCCAGGCATGGTGGCATGTGCCTATAGTCCCAGTTACTTGGGGGGCTGAGGAGGGAGGATCGCTTGAGCCCAGGAGGTTGAGGCTGCAGGGAGCTGAGAACACGCCACTGCACTCCAGCCTGGGTGACAGAGTGAGACACTATCTCAACACACACACACACACACACACAAACACACACACACAAAGCTTTTCTCTAAAATAGAAAACAATGTAAAGATGTCCAATCTTAACATTTTTCTATTCAACATTCCACAGGAGACTCTAGCCAGTGCAACTGGACAAGAAAAAGAAATAAAAGCCTTCCATATTGTAAAGAAAGAAGCAAAAATGTCTTTACTTGTAGGTGATATGATTCTGTATGTAAGAAATCCTAAGAAATCCACACACAAAAAAAACCACTAAAACTAATAAACGAATTCAGCAAGATTTCAGGAAACAAGAACAAAATACAAAATCAACTGCATTTTTATATTATAGCAATGAAATTAAGAAAACAACGCTTTACAATAGCATCAATAAAATACTTAGAAATAAATTTAACCAAAGAAATGCAAGATGTGTACACTGAAACCTGGAAAATATTGCCAAGAGAAATTAAAGATGTAAATAAACTGTGAGGTGTTCTATGTTCATGGGTTGAAGAGTCAATATTAAGATGGCAATTCTCCCCAAATTAATCTATAGATTCAATGCAATCTCTATCAAAATCTTAGCAAGGTTTATTGCAGAATCTTGATAAGCCAGTCCTAAAATTTATATGAAAAGTCAAAGAATCTAGATTGGCCAGAACAATTTTGAAAAAGAACAAATTTGGAGGACTTATATTCCTGATTTCACAACTTACTAGGAATCAACAGTAATCTAGATGGTGTGGTATTAACACAAGGAGAGACATGTTTATCAGTGAAATGTAACTGAGAGACCAGAAATAAACACATTTTCTGGTCAACAAAGGTGCCAAGATTCAATGGGAAAAGGTGTTGGGAAATTTGGATAGCCATATGCAAAAAGATTAGTTTGGACACATAACTCAGCCCATATACAAAAGTTATCTTAAAATGAATCACAGACCTAAATATAAAAGGCAAAACTATAAAACTTTCATTTTTTTTTTAGACGGAGTCTCGCTCTGTCACCCAGGCTGGAGCACAGTGCCACGATTTCGGCTCACTGCAAACTCCGCCTCCCAGGTTCACGCCATTCTCCTGCCTCAGCCTCCTGAGTAGCTGGGACTACAGGTGCCCGCCACCACGCCTGGCTAATTTTTTGTATTTTTAGTAGAGATGGGGTTTCACCATGTTTGCCAGGATGATCTTGATCTCCTGACCTCGTGATCTACCTGCCTTGGCCTCCCAAAGTGCTGGAATTACAGGTTTGAGCCAACAGGCAAAGACTTCTTAGACATAACATCAAAAGCATAATTCATAAAATTTTTTATAGAGTTTATTAAAATGAAAAACTTTTCTATTTCAAAAGACACTATTAAGAAAATAAAAGACAAGTCAGACTGCAAGAAAATATTTACAAATCATATCTGATAAAGGACATGTATCCAGAATACAGAAAGAACCCATACAATTCAACAAGAGTACAAACAAAATTTTAGAAATAGGCCAAGATCTGAATAGACATTTCATCAAAGAAGATATATGAATCACTAATAAGCATGTTCTACATCATTAGTCACTAGGGAATGCAAATTAAAACCAGGAGATACCACTTCATACCCATTGGAATGGCTATAAGAAAAAAGACAGAAAATAAGAAATATTTTTTGATATGGAGAAATTAGTATCCTCAGACATTGCTGATGGGAATGTAAAATGGTACAGACACTTTGGAAAAAAGTTCGACAGTTTCTTAATATGTTAAACATCAATTTACCATACAACTTAGCAATTACACTCCAGGCATCTACTTGAGAAATGAAAATGAAAACATATGTCTACACAAGAAACTGCATTCAAAAGTTTATAGCAGCATTATTTACAATAGTCTAAAGTTGGAAATAACCCAATGTCCATCAACTGGTAAAAGGATAAACAAAATGTAGTTTTGGAACACTATTCAGCCATAAAAAGGAACAAATACTATACATGCCACAATATGGAAAAAACAAAAACATTATACTAAGTGTAAGAAGCCACATAGAGGAGATTGCATGTATGATTCCATTTATACAAAAGGCCCAAAAAAGGCAAATCTATAGAGTGATTAAGGGTGATTAGTGGTTGGCTGGGACTTTAGGTGGAAATGGAAGTCACTGAATGAGCAGAAGGGATTTTCTTGGGCGATGGAAATGTTCTGAAACTGGATTGTGGTGGTGGTTTGTACAGCCATGTTGACCAAAAATCACTGAAACGTGCACTTGAAAGGGGTGAATTTTATGGCATGTAAATCAGCTATTTTTAAAGTAAAAAAAAATTAGTAAAAGAATTTATTAGGGAGAAAAAAAAAGAAAGCTAGTTTCCAACCTTTCCACTAAGAGTCCAGTCATCTGAAAATTCTCCTTCATAGATAGTATCATCTTCGGAAAGCAAAACCCCATTTCCCTACAAGAAGAAACAAGAGAAAAATTACAACACATAAAATACAGAGTAACTTAAGAGTGCACGCAGTCATATCCCCAAAGCCTTATGGAATCTTAAAAGAAGGAAAATAGTACTAAGAAGGTGGAAACTAATCAAAAGATGATTTAAAAAGTTAAGGACAAAGGAGCTTTAAAAAGTTAGTAATAACTACATGCAAATATTCCACTCACCATCATTTTATTAAGGTGAAAGTTGCCCTCGTAGTATAATCCAAACTGGGTAACCACCACACCATTCCCTTGACACACATCATCTTGCCACATTCCCATATACTTTTCCCCCCTGCACAGAAATAAAAAGAAAAGAAAAAGCACTGAAGATAAGGATAAAGTAGGGAAAAGACAATTATCACATGGGAGATCCCAGGCATCAACCCTAGGTTGGTATTGCTTCCATTTTTCTAGTTAAAATAGTTAACTTTGTCTCCTCAAATATGGGACAAAGTGATAGCAAAAGACATCTCACTCAGTAATCCTCTCTGAGGAATTTAATGTTGTGGTCTGACACAGATCTGTATATATCCCAGGTAGTTACTTGGTAACTTTAAAATACATAATTTTTAAAAAGAAGGTCTAGAATTCAACTCTAAATAATTTCATTTAAAATGTAATAAGCAGAATAAAACCTATGCACAGGTTTTTCTTACACAAAAGTTTGCTAACTTAAAAAGAAAGAGGCTGGATTCGGTGGCTCATGCCTATAATCCCAGCACTTTGGGAGGCAAAGGCAGGTGGATCACTTGAGGCCAGGAGTTCGAGACCAGCCTGGACAATATGGCAAAACCCCATCTCTACCAAAAATACAAAAAATTAACTGGGCGTGGTGGTGTGTGCCTGTGGTCCCAGCTACTTGGTAGACTGAGGTAGGAGGATCCCTTGAACCCAGGAGGCAGAGATTGCAGTGAGCTGAGATCGCACCACTCCAGCCTGGGTGACAGAGTGAAACCCTGTCTCAAAAAATAAAAAAGTAAATAAAAGGGTTTGTCATAAAAGAAGGTTCATTTTTCACCTACTCAAACTCAAAGAAATCTTACTAATCTCCATGAAAAAGACAAAATAAGTATAAACTGCTTGTTAAATAATGATGGTGCTTAATCATTGGCTTAAACTGTGGGAATAGAAGGAGAATACTGTACCTAGTGATATCATCAAAGACACCATATCCTGCTTTCTTATCCATTACCCACTGGCCAATGAACATACTAGGAGAAGAGGACGTCAATTTCCCACTTCGTAGAAGACCATGACCATGACGCATATTATCTTGAAAACAGCCCTCAAATACTTCACCAGAAGCATAGCTGTGGTTGGAAAGAATGGATAATTATCACATGCACATTGAATTCTGATGCTCATTTTTACAAAGTTTAGAAAATCCAAAACCATACTCAGTCTCACTGGTAGCTATAATTATTTGTTTATATGATTATTTTTCACCAATTAAAAAAACCTCATTTTCGAATGATTAAAGTTAAAAAGTTAAAGACACCATGTGTGGTATTTTGCATTAACATGAAAAACAATGTGTTTTTATTCTCTTATGGGAAAATGAAATAATGAGTTATTTTTAAGAGGGAAGAATAAAAGTTTTGTCCATTAGAATCCTATATGTCTTATTATAGATAAGACCATTTTTTCATAAAATTATGGTTTATAAGGTATATAAAATTTAGGGCTGGGTGCGGTGGCTCATGCCTGTAATCCCAGCACTTTGGGAGGCCGAGGCGGGTGGATCACGAGGTCAGGAGATCGAGACCATCCTGGCTAACGCGGTGAAACCCTGTCTCTACTAAAAATACAAAAAATTAGCCGGGTGTGGTGGCGGGCGCCTGGAGTCCCACCTACTCGGGAGGCTGAAGCAGGAGAATGGCATGAACCTGGGAGGCAGAGCTTGCAGTGAGCCAAGATTGCGCCACTGCACTCCAGCCTGGGTGACAGAGCGAGACTTCATCTCAAAAAAAAAAAAAAAAATTTAGATAAGAACTAAATTTAATAATCCAGTATTTTAATCCTGCGATAGATGAGGGGTTAACCTTTAAAAGATGATCACACAGAGTTTCAATTTTATTTACTCCTCTAAATTTTATCTATAAGACTAAACAAAACTTAAAACTTGGAAATTTTGGCTATGCAAACATTCAGGTTTACATGGTTATATGAAAAACAAACACCAGTCCAACAGCCTTTCCAATGTTACCTGTAGACTCCTTGACCGCACATTTTTCCTTCTTTCCAATGGCCCACATAATGGTCTTCTTTGTTCATTGCCTTGTTTGGGATTCTGTATTCTCCATACCTGCCATGAAAAAGAAAAAATAACAAAAGAAGATGCATTTATGACATATTCACCTTTTGTATGTATATCCTGGTAAACATTTTAACAAGGAAGACAGAGAAAACATTCACCTGTAGGAGTAAAGGGTTAAAACAGCATCTTGGTTTAAGGTGAATCTATAACCTAAGCTGTTTGGCAAGAGGAGTGGGACATCAGCCCCACTACACTAAGATATGGTGTTTTAATCCAACTCCAGTGAAAAACAGAAGACCTGTGTCCTTCACCTATCTCTGTCACTAATTACCTGCACCACCATGCGGTAAGCCCAGGTATCTAGCTCCTTTATTTGGATAATAAGAGGGGCAACTCAGTGGGTAAATTAGATGATCTAAAGTCTCTTCTCATTCTAACAATCTATTAAAAAGAGATTTTAACACATCACAAGAATTTACATGATCACACAGACACACAAAATCACCTACCCAACATTTTTTATATACTAAATTACTTCCTTAACATTATACAAAATACTGCCATAAACTAATCATGTAAATACATTTACAGTGTTAGAAAACATGATAAACTTATTTTTAAAAAGTCATTAGAGCATCATTGAGATAATATAGCACTTGGAAAATTTCTCCTTTAACAGATCACAGAAATTAAAGATGACTTAAAACGACTGAAAGGAAAATTTTTCTATGTCCTTTGTGTAAAGGAGGACTACCATCTCAATAGTCCCACCATTAACATTACCAAAGATCTCAGTCTTCACAACTGAGAAATGAATAGAAAACATAGCCCCATTTTAACAGATGGAAGGCTGTGTAATTTGAGGTCACACGGCTATCAGGGAAAATGACCCAGTCTAGGTAAATCAGAGGCTGTACCCCTCACTCCTGGCTCTCTTCATGCTCATACATGTGCATTTCTAAAAAATAACAACAAAAATCTACTACTTGTTTGAAAAGCAGCTCTGCATACAAAATAACATAATTTACGACCTTACCGAACTTGAATTTACTGTCATGTTTTACACAATTTTCTTACCCATCTTCCAAGCCATTCCTGAACATGCCAGAATACATCTTTCCATCAGGCCACTTCAAAACCCCTCTGGAATGCATAAGCAAAGAATAATGCATGTCAACTAATATTTCAGATAATTAATACTTTTTCTATCATGTGATGATCATCCTCACCCCAGGCATAAATCTTCAACATTTTCACCTGCCATGAGGCTTCCCTGAAAGCCAGCGTCCATCATAGGTGGCATCCTTTAGGCGAGGATCCTTGTAGAAAGTATATTTGGCACTGCGTGAAATGGGTGGTTCCTGTCTCTGAACACTGCTACCACTTCCATAAGGGGGGAGATCAGACATCCCTCTCAAAGCCTGATCTACGGCTTGGCTTATAGCTCGTAGCCACTTTGTCTAGGAGCAAAAAGTAACGTCAATAAGTTTAAGGCAACAATTCATCAAGCATTGCTTTAAATCCTGCTAGTTTTCTTTGGTGTGAATAAATTATTTGTGTCCTAATGCTTTTCTTATTAATAGAGTAATATTGACTGGCTCTTGTATTTCTCTGCTATATGTTTAAAATTAAGTCACATTAAAAAAAAAAACAATGAAGAACCTACAGTTTTGGGTTAATGAAGATTTATCAGACAGAACTGTGCATCATTAGTCAAGCAAGAACAATTTATATTTCTTCTTTATTACACAAGAGGCAGAAAGAGCCAGGGCGAAGATTGAAGGAAAATACCATAATAGACTAACCTTTTCCTGGGGTGTAGATGAAATGAGAGTGAACTGCTCCTCAGGTGTAGTTATCTTTAAGCCATTCCTAAAACGTTCACAAGGATAAATACCAGGACATTTAACAACCTGTCATTACAGTATCGATCCTCAAATATGAAAAGCAACCTCTTTATTTCAAGAGGAACAGAAATCAATTAATGTAAATGCTTGCTTGGTTTTGGGCGCCACCACGGTGGAAAGAACAAAGAATTCTCTGCTCTGTGCTGAACGATGGGGATGTGTGCAATGAAGATGCCCTTTCATCACCTAATCGTGACTTGCCATGATCTTCACAACAGGCCATTTTATTATCAATAGACTACTTTACTGTCTAATGTGCTGAGAGGTGGGCCTCATTATACAGAATGAGGAGACTGTCTCCGAAGCCTTCCTGAGCTTTTTTTCACATTTAAGGAAGCAACCTGGGTAACAGACTTGGACGGGGTGGGGTGGGGAGGGGGGACGCACTTACACACCACCAGCTTCTTCAGACAGTGGCTCTGCCCACAGCGTGGCCAGAGGGAAAACATGGTGCGTGGAGAACTGAAACAGAGAACACGGAGGCACTTTTATGAAAGCCCATGTAGACCTCGGGGACTCTGCCCATATCCCCTTCATGTCATTAACCCACATGGGCCTTGCAGTCTCTGCTGCAGAACCCCTTGAAATAGTTAAGCCCATGTAGGTGCCACCAATTCTGCCACATTGTCCCCATAACACAGCTAACCCAAAGGGCCTTGCCATCTCTGCTGCAGGGCCCTCTTCACATGGCTGACACTCATTCTCAAGCTGGAAACTTAAGAAGTTCTCTGAAATCCAACGCATACAGAAATCCATGCTGTAGCTAAAATAGCCTCTTTTTTAAAAAAAATTATTATTATACTTTAAGTTCTAGGGTACATCTGCACAATGTGCAGGTTTGTTACATATGTATACACGTGCCATGTTGGTATGCTGCACCCATTAACTCGTCACTTACATTAGGTGTATCTCCTAATGCTATCCCTCCCTCCTCCCCCGACCCCACGACAGGCCCCGGTGTGTGATGTTTCCCTTCTTGTGTCCAAGTGTTCTCATTGTTCAGTTCCCACCTATGAGTGAGAACATGCAGTGTTTGGTTTTTTGTCCTTGCTATAGTTTGCTGAGAATGATGGCTAGCCTCTTTTAGTCAACAGTTTCAGTAAAATCACACTAGTTTTGAACATAAACTGATAGTACAGTTAATAAGGATAGGGGTCCACCTTTCAGGAATTCTTTTAAGGTTAGGAATCCAGCCTACCTGGGCATGGACCAGGGCATCATTAAAGAGAATGAACCAATTCACGGAAAACCTCCCAGCATGCTGCAGAGACAGGGCTCGGTTACTACTCTCACACAGCAGTCGACGCTCTGGCTTCCTCAAGGAATCCTGGAATTAAAGACAAATATAATACAAGTCAAACAATCAAAATTATTTTAACATGTAAAGAGAAAATAAAACAGACACAAATCACATTTAAGGGAATTTGCTGGTCGTAGCTTAGCTTGGTGTAAAATCTAAATTTATATGGGATCTAAACACTTCACAAAATTAGAGCTCAAAGGAGATTAAAAAGAAGACAAAAACAAACTAAAGAAGGTGAGTAAGTCTTCAGAGAGGATTTCTAGAAATGAGAGAAGGTATTTAGAGTACCCATTAGTATGGTCCTTAGACATTTTAGGAAAGGGGTCATTAAAAGGTTATTACCACAAACAAGTGAGGAACAGAGAAAATTGTATCAATTGTTATCGAAATGGTTGCTGTTTGCTAGGGTAACAAATGACAACTGGCATGGCTTACCGTCATTTTTCCGGGGAAGGTCTTCCAGAAGCCCAGTGTGTATTCTGCTTCCTTCCTTTTCCTGCCGAGATGGAGAGCAAGACACTCATAACAAGAACTGGAATCCTGCAGTTTCTGATATTCTGGAGATGCCTACAGGGCAAAAATTAAAGAGGAAAAAAAAAAAAAGAACATAAAACCATTATGCAGAATCTGTAGCCTCAGTCTGCCTTAGACATATAGTATTAAATGTAGGAGAAAATTCAGCCCACGAGCATAAGTAGCACACTGCAGGAGACTGGGAAAAGGAGATTGGTTTCAGAAAAATTCTACTACATAAAAGTACATATGAAATAGGGGCATAACTCAGGTGACAGAGACAAAACCTGGCAGTTAGTGAATAGAGCAGCAGAGACCCCAGGATAGAGCAGGAGTTCTCAAATATTTTGGTCTCGGGATCCCTTTATTTTTCTTATGTGGACTGTATCTATTGATATTTACCATATTAGAACATAAAATTAAGAAATGTTAGAAGCTTTTATTAATTCACTTACAAAAATTTTTTAATGGTAGGGCGCGGTGGCTCACACCTGTAATCCCAGCACTTTGGGAGGCCGAGGCAGGCGGATCACGAGGTCAGGAGATCAAGACCATCCTGGCTAACACGGTAAAACCCCGTATTCACTAAAAAAATACAAAAATTAGCCGGGTGTGGTGGCGGGCGCCTGTAGACCCAGCTACTCGGGAGGATGAGGCAGGAGAATGGCGTGAACCCGGGAGGCGGAGCTTGCAGTGAGCCGAGATGCGCCACTGCACTCCAGTCTGGGCAACAGAGCGAGACTCCGTCTCAAAAAAAAAAAAAAAAAAAAAAAACAACTTTTTTTGTGAGAAAAGTGGCAATGGTCCACATTTTTTCAAATCTCTTTATTATCTGGCTTTAAAAATGACAGCTGGACTTTTATATCAGCTTTTGCATTTAATCTGTTATATGTTGTTTGGTTAAAACCTATGAAGAAAATGTGGCCTTATAAAGGTATATATCTGGAATAGAGGGAAGCATTTTAATAGCCATTTCAAATAAATGTGGATATTCTCCTTTGATACTATATTAAAACTTGCTATGTGGTAGATTCTTAAAGGGAGCTGCAATGTAGAATCTGAAACCACAGCAATGAGCTTTTTGTACCCTGTGATGTTAAAATCCAGGGGTCTATCATGCACTTTGAATGGGTCTTTTACCATCTATGGCTTTGTACCATCTATGATTGTGGATTGGACATATGGAAAATATCGGTTGACTGAATTATGCAGATTTTCCAAATGTTGATACCTTTTTTTCTATAACATCAAAAATCACAGGATAATAGAACTACCAATCTCATGAGATAAAGTCCTAAGTATCAGGAAACTGTCAGACTCACAGTGGCAGATCCATCTCTAACATTCTAATTTTCGCTTAAAAGTTGAGATTTTATTATTGGCAACAAATACTATCAGTTGTTCTCTTTGAAATGACAGGTTCATTTACTCATTTCTGAGAAAATATCTGCCAATATCCAAATCTGAAAAATCAGTTTATCTGTCAATTGTCCTTTCAAGTTTAAAAAAAAAAAAAGCAACCCATTTATTTCAAGAGGAGCTCTCAACTCAACTATCACAGTCATGCTTTTTCTTGAAAAACTGCCACACTTCAGCATGCAGCAGAGCTGCTTTACATGTACTTTGCATGTCACCACACATAACAGGACATTCTTAAGCGAAATTGTATTTTAACTGCAACTGCATGGCAGTGAAGAACGCAGTGACTACTAGTATAGTCTGGTGCCACTGCCTTGATTCCTACCAAGGAGCCAGCAGTTTTACCCACCTTAACTTTTGCACCATCAGTGTAAATGACAATACAGTGGAAAAGGCAAATATCTTAGTATTGTCATGAAAATAGTTTTGACCTTGTGAACCCCTTGAAATAGTCTTTGGAAGCCCCAGGGGTCTGCAAACCAAGTTTTGAGAAACAACTACTGGGATGGGTGTAACCGCTACACCATGTAGCGAGGGAGCAGAAGGTAAGATCAAAGGATGATCTCTCACGTTTATGAGTAATTACTTTACTTGCTACAATTCTGAGAGTCACTCATTTTCATTTTTTCCATTCATTTAAGAAACATTTAATGAGTATCTACCACATATAAAACATTCTGCTAGAGTGCTAGGGAAAAAAAAATAAGGTATGATCTTTGTACCATAATTAGACAAGATAAAAAATGTACCAGAATAATGCAGTGGTTTTGTTAATAGGTTATATATCATAAAAGACAATCTAGGAAAGTAGGTTAAGAGGACAGATTCTGGAACCAGAGCCTGGATATTAATTCTAGCTCTGCCAATTCTCAGCTGTGTCTCAATTCTCTTATCTGTAAAAGGCTGATGATGAAATCGGTAATAATAATAATACCTACTTCACCGAGTTGATGTGGGGATTAAAGTTATATGTATATATGAATACATATAACTTGCTTAGAACAGTGCCTGGCATATAGAATTCATTCAATAAAAGTATCATCATTATTTTTATATGGAGACATTTAAAAAAATACATATATGTGTACACACATATATGACGTCAAGGCTGTGCCTTAGACTTACTAAATTATAACGTATAGTGATGGAATACAGGCAGGTTTTGTTTTGAAAAAGCTTCCACAGTTGATTTTGAACCCCTGTGATAAGGATAAGGGCCATTGATATAACATGAGAAGTGAATAATAGAGAAAGAAAGTGTTAGCAAAACACAGAGTAAATAATCCTTCAGAGATGGATAGGTGAAAGAGAACCAATATAGTCAAAGAGGGCTTTATTTTCATGATAAAATGACTTTTGTCCCAGAATGAGGATGGGAGTGGGAGTGTTTCAGGAAGGAAATATAAAGCATATGAAAGCTACATCCAGGGAAACTGAACTCTGACTCTCAACAATTCTAAGCTGATCTGGTGGAAAATTTTTTTATTAATTGAG